>NW_021160027.1:0-300000 GCF_000001405.40 Homo sapiens
GAAAAGAAGAAGTCAAATTATCCTTGTTCGTTGATGATATGATCTTATATTTAGAATAAACTAGACTCCATGAGAAAACTATTAGAACTGATAAATTCATTAGAATTGTAGGATACACAATCAAAATGCAAAAATTAGTAGCATTTCTATATGCCAACAGTGAACAATCTGAAAAAGAAATTTAAAAAATAATCTCATTTACAATAGCCACATGTAAAATTAAATACCTAGGAATTGACTGAACTATAAGAAGTGAAAGGTCTCTATAATGAAAAGTAAAATACACTGGCCGGGCACGGTGGCTCACACCTATAATCTGAGCACATTGGGAGTCCAAGGTGGGCAGATCACTAGGTCAGGAGTTTGAGACCAGCCTGGCCAATATGGTGAAACACCATCTCTATTAAAAATACAAAAAAAAAATTAGCTGGGCATGGTGGCACACGCCTGTAATCCTAGCTACTCAGGAGGCTGAGGCAGGAGAATTTCTTGAACCCGGGAAGCAGAGGGTGCAGGGAGCTTAGATCGCGCCACTGCACTCCAGCCTGGGCAACAGAGCGAGACTCTCTCTTGACATATAAAAAAGTCAATTCAAAATGGATTAAAGACTTAAATCTAAGACCTCAAACCATGAAACTACTGCAAGAAAACATTGGGGAAAATCTCCACAACATTGGTCTGGGCAACGACTTCTTGAGCAATACCCAACAAGTACAGACAACCAAAGCAAACATGGGCAAACTGCATTGCATAAAGTTAAAAAGCTTCTGCACAGCAAAGGATACAATCACCAAAGTGAAAAGACAACCCATGGAATGGGAGAAAATATTTGCAAACTACCCATCTGACCAGTGATTAACAACCAGAATATATAAGGAGTTCAAACAACTCTATAGGAAAAAATCTAATAATACAATCAAGAAATTGGCAAAATATTTGAATAGACATTTCTCAAAAGATGACACACAAATGGCAAACAGGCAAAAGAAAAGTTGCTCAGCATCATTGGTCATGAGAGAAATGCAAATCAAAACTACAAGATATCATCTCACCCCAGTTAAAATGGCTTATATCCAAAGACAGGTAATAACAAATGCTGGTGAAGATGTGGACAAAAGGGAACACTTGTACACTGTTGGTGGGAATGTAAATTAGTACAACCACTATGGAGCACAGTTTGGAGGTTCCTCAGAAAGCTAAAAATTGAGCTACCATATGATCCAGCAATCCTACTCCTGGGTATCTACCCAAAAAGAAAGGAAATGAGTATATCAGAGAAATATCTGCACTCCTATGTTTCTTACAGCGGTGTTTACAACAGCTAAGATTTGGAAGTAACCTAAGTGTCCATCAACAGATGTTTGGATAAAGAAAATGTGGTACAGATACACAATGGAGTACTATTCAGCCATAAAAAAATGAGATCCTGTCATTTGCAATCACATGGATGGAACTGGAGTTGACTATGTTAAGTGAAATAACCCAGGCCCTGAAAGACTAACGTCACATGTTCTCACTTATTTGTGGGATCTAAAAATCAAATCAATTGAACTCATGGACACACAGAATAGAAGGATGGTTACCAGGTGCTGGGAAGGATAGTGGGGGGTTGGGTAGTGGGGGGTTGGGTAGTGGAGGTGGGGTTGGCTAATAGGTATTAAAAACAGAAAGAATGACTAAGACCTTCTATGTGATAGCAAAATAGGGTGACTTACATGGTTTGGATGTGTCCCCCCCAAATCTCATCTTGAATTGTAATCTGCATAATCCCCACATGTCTGGGGAGAGACCTGGTGGGAGGTGATTGGATCATGGGGGTGGCTTTCTGCATGCTGTTCTTGTGATAGTGAGTGAGTGCTCACGAGATCTAATAGTTTTATAAGGGGCTCTTCACCCTTTGCTCCACACACTTCTTTCTCCTGCCACCTTGTGAAGAAGGATGTGTTTGCTTCCCCTTCTGCCATGATTGTAAGTTTCCTGAGCCCTCTCCAGCCATGCAGAACTGTGAGTCAATTAAACTTCTTTACTTTATAAATTACACAGACTCAGGTATTCTAGCAGTGTGAGAATGAACTAGTACTGTGACTATAGTCAATAATAACCTAATTGTATATTTTAAAATAAGTTAAAGAGCATAATTGAATTGTTTGTAACTCAAAGGATAAATACTTGAGGGGATGGACGCCCCGTTTTCTATGATGTGCTTATTTCACATTGCATGCCTGTACATCTCATATACCCCATAAATTTATACACCTACTAGGTACCCATAAAAATTAAAAAAAAATAATCCTGCCAGTGTGGCAGTCACCACAGCTTGGGGTCTGGACATCAGTTTCACATGTTCATAATGTCAATATTCTAAATGTTGCAGAGTTGATGGATGCTGGGAATGTGGATTCTCACTAAGGATGTTCACAAGAGAGTGTTGTATAAACCAGAATGCCAATTTATTAATTTACAAATGCAAACATAATTGTTCATGCAGATTTGATTGGAACGTAGCTAATTCTTTCCCTGTGGGCAGATCTTCATGGGAAGCCAAATTATAATCAGAATATTGTTCATACCATAGAATTAAGACAAGGTGTTAGTTGGATCATTTAAATGCATAGTACTGTTTGCTATAATTGCTCTAATGGCCCGTCTCCTCAATATGGACTAGAGTATTTACTCCCTGGGGAGACTGGTGTATTTGTTTTGGATGTCAGTGCCTACCCACCCCACCTCCTGCGTAGGGCCTTTTCAGGTTTTTAAATTTTTCCATGATTTCTTGGCTGATCAAAACCCTTGATTAGGCCAGGCACAGTAGCTCATGGCTGTAATCCCAACACTTCGGGAGGCTGAGTTCGGGGAATTGCTCGAGGCCAGGAGTTCAAGATCAGTCTGGGCAACTTAGTGAGACCCTGCCTGTCTCTACAAAAAATTAAAATTCGCCAGGTGTGGTAGTGCATGCCTGTAGTACCAACTACTCCGGAGGCTGAGGCGGGAGGGTCACTTGAGCCTGGGAAGTTGCAACTCCAATGAACCGTGATCATGCCACTGCACTCCAGCCTAGGTGACAGAGTGAGATGCTGTCTCTAAAACAAAAAACAAAGTGAAACTCTTGATTGGCATAATTTTGTTTCTCTATCAGCTTTATTTTTAAAAAAATTACATAAGTAAAACATGTCTCTTTAGCTATTATCTCTTAAATCAGATTACCTTCTGTAATAATTCTATGGGAATTATTCTACGGGAGCACAGTCATTCACGCTTGTAACCCCAGCACTTTGGGATGCCAAGGTGGGAGGACTGCTTGAGCCCAGGACTTTGCAACCAGCCTGAGCAACATAGACCCCGTCTCTACAATAATAATAATAATAATAAAAATAAAAAAATTAACCGGGCATGATGGTGTGTGCCTGTAGTCCATGCTACTTGGGAGGCTGAAGTGGGAAGATCCCTTGAGCCAAGGAGGTAGAGGCTGCAAGTGAGCCATGATAGCACCACCGCATTCAAGCCTGGGCAAGAGTGAGGCCCTGTCTCAATAAAAACCCGCAAAAAACTTTGGGAGCATCGTACGGTTGCCAGTGAATAAGGTTATAAGATAAAAAACAGGATGCTCAATTAAATTCAGCTAAACAAGCGCTGTATATTTTTAGTGTAAGTATATCCAAAATATTAATGAGGTATACTTACACTAAAACAAATATTCATTGTTTACCTGAAATGCAAATTTAAATAGGCATCCTGTATTTTCATTTGCTAAACCTGGCAATCCTACCAGCACTTTAACATGAAGCCATGAGGGTTGCCTGGATTCATGCTGGTAGGTAAGCACCAATCCATTCGGTTGCCTCAGACAGGACAGAAACCATTCCCTCTAAAAAAATCGTTTACTTTGACGATAGGTAGCAACGAAGCACGGAAGAATCTTGACCCTTTGAGGAACCCGTAACTGACGCAAGTGCCATAAATGCTACTTTGATTGATTCTCCGCCCCCTCCATTCTTCTCTTCCTGCAATTGCTCTATCACTTCTTCCCTCTCAAGTCCCGCCCTTTCAGCTACCTCCAACTGCTGAGGAACCGGTTGCCTAAAAGGAGCCGGCAAAAGCGCCTACGTGGAGTCCAGAGGAGCGGAAGTAGTCAGATTTGACTGAGAGCCGTAAAGCGCGGCTGGCTCTCGTTTTCCGGATAACGACTACAGCTCCGACTGTCAGTGCCGGCCTTCCTCGTGTGAGGGGATCTGCCGGACCCCTGCAAATTCAATTTCTTTCCCATTCCGGGCCCTTCCCTATCGTCGCCCCCTTCACCTTGGATCATGTTCAAGAAGTAAGGACATGCTGTGGCCTCCATCGGCTGCTCACAAAGGCGGTGGGGTGGGGGTGGGGAAGAGGGCGAGAGCTAAGATCCTCTTTCTCTCTCCCCCGCCCCTGCCATCCTGACTCCCTAAGGTTTTCTATAGTACTATGCTCTCACTCCCAACTTGAACACTTCTTTAAGCTTTCCATCCGTAGTCCTTAATTGGGTTTCAGTCCCTCCACTCCCATTGTTTTTTCTCCTTACCCCTCTTTCTCTTTTGCCCCCTCCCCCAATTCTGTCTCCATTCCTAGGGTTCTACCAATCACATCCGTGCACTGTGATTTAGAGGCATATTCTCTGTAGCTGAGAGGGGAGCCCTGCGCTCACTGCCATATGTTTATTAGTTATGAACTGAATAAAGGAAGGCTTGACTTCCTGGGTCATGGGAGTGAAGGAGTCTGGGTGACAGGAAGCAAGCGGCCTGTCATGCCTATTGCCTAGCTGCCAGATTAACCTTGCCTTGAAAATAACGATTGCCCCATAGGCTATTCAGTGTAAGGAAGACAAAAATTCCTTGGGAACCTACTAGTGGGTTTGCCTTCCAGATTTGGTAGACGCAAAAAGCAAAGGGGGAACATGGGCAAAGGAAGGTGGGTTTTGTGCATGAAATTTTGAGCAAAAACGAATAGGGATCTTAGAAATCATTATTATCATCACTTAAAAAAAATCTCAGCAGATTACATAGCCTAGCAGGGGCCGATTTTCTATGTTATGCTTGGGTTGGTCTTTTGTATCTCAAGAATTGAGGGTTTTGTTTTCTGATCTCAGGTTTTATTATTGGTGGGAGCCTGTGTTTCTTCCTGGGTAGAATTGAATAAGATTTTCCAGGAAAGGCATTTGTGTAGCTAATTACAGATTATGGTGCAAAGTATGTCTCATATTCCTCCCCCTAACCCCAGCTAATTGCTGTATACTTGACAGTTTATTTCAATATTGTATTAAGACATTGGTTTTGTGCTGGACAGAGTAAAAGGGAGATGGTATTTTTTTTTAAAAGAACAATTTATTTCATAATTAAGTATCTAAATACTTGGTTGGGAATAAATGACTAATTAGAACAGTACCTTTAGGTATTCTGATACCTCTACTTAGAAATGCCTTTTCTTTTCTTGCAAAAATTACTTGGCAGATTTGATGAAAAAGAAAATGTGTCCAACTGCATCCAGTTGAAAACTTCAGTTATTAAGGGTATTAAGAATCAATTGATAGAGCAATTTCCAGGTATTGAACCATGGCTTAATCAAATCATGCCTAAGAAAGATCCTGTCAAAATAGTCCGATGGTAAGTCTTTGTTTTTGTCTGTGTAAAGCTCGGTATAGCTGAATATTTAATGATTAGATTGCACTCATACTAAATGGAATTATTTTCAGATTAACTATTGATAGATTAATAATGGGGTAGACACAGAATAACTCTAAAACTCCAATATTTGTATTTTCAAAGATTTTCTATGTCCCTGAAAAAATGTGGCTTTGTGTATTGATTGTTCTAGTAAAGAGTTAAATGTTTTAGTTCAGAGTTGGATTTAATTTATTTCAGTTTGTTGTTTAGAGAATTGTTTTATTGAATTACCTAACAATGGAATTAATAAAATGTGAAATAAAATTGGTTGTAGCAGGTAATATTTTTCTTTTTTTCTCTACTGGACTTGCATGATAGGAAAAACAATGTAAACAATATTTTTTGGCCAGGATTTTTACTGACTTTTTAAGAAAGTTTATCACTGTATATGCGTGTTTTATATTGTGAATTTTTGAAAGAAAATATCTAACTTGGTACTTTGTGACATTTGTCTTACAGCCATGAACATATAGAAATCCTTACAGTAAATGGAGAATTACTCTTTTTTAGACAAAGAGAAGGGCCTTTTTATCCAACCCTAAGATTACTTCACAAATGTAAGGTTTTTTTATTTTTATTTTTTGAAATTTTACTCCTATTGCAATATTCAAATGTAAAGTCTTGTAAGAAATATGCATTTAATCAGATAAGACACTGCTGGGGGAGAAAAACAGAAATATGCATTTGGGAATACTGAAAGACACAAAAAGAGTTTAGAGTGACTTCTGATAATTGACTCATTATTTATTAGTACTAGGTAATAATGGATGTAAAACTAAAATGAATGCCCATCTTGTGGTAAATCTGAAAAATGCAGATTCTCTCATGCATTCCAGAAAGCCCAAGAAAGATCATTTATTAATTCATTCAACAAATATTTATTGCCGGGCACGGAGGCTCACGCCTGTAATCCCAGCACTTTGGGAGGCCAAGGCGGGTGGATCACCTGAGATCAGGAGTTCGAGACCAGCCTGGCCAACATGGTGAAACCCCGTCTCTACTAAACATACAAAAGTTAGCCGGGCGTGGTCACAGGTGCCTGTAATCCCAGCTACTCGGGAGGCTGAGGCAGGAGAATCACTTCAACCCGCGAGGCGGAGGTTGCAGTGAGCAGAGATCACGCCATTGCACTCTAGCCTGGGGAACAAGAGCGAGACTTAGTCTCAAAAAAAAAAAAAAAAAAAAAAAGACAAATATTTATTGAACTTACTATGTGCTAGGCATTCAGCTAGGTGCTGAGAATACAATGGGAAGCAAAGACATTGTCTCTGTCCTTAAGAAACTAATAGTCTAGTTTGGAGAATAAACAACAATTAGATAATTACGCAAATATGTATTTACAAACTGTGATAAGCATTGTGAGCATTTTCATCTTTTATATTTGTATCTATTTGCCTAATAGAGAAAAGTCTATATATGGGAAAGCATTGACTAAGTGTCCTTCCGTCCAGGTATTTCCTGTGATGTGTGTAAATGCATTTTTTTTTAAAATTGGGCTCTCTGTTACATAGTTTTTAAAAATTGATACGTCATAGCTGTACATTGTCTGCTGTTGTGGTGCCTGTATCCCCCACCACCTATATATATTTATAATAGTTGTACATATTTTAGGGGTACATGTGATATTTGATACCTTTATACAGCGTGTAATGATCAAATCAGGGTAATTAGGGTATCTGTCACCTCAAACGTTTATCTTTGTGTTGAGAAGATTACAATTCTTCTAGCTATTTTGAAATATAGAGTAAATCATTGTTAAATATAATTTCCTTATTGTACTCTCGAATACTAGAACTTATCGACCTGTATTTTTATACCCCTTAACCAACTTCTCCTCATCCCCTTGTAGTTTTTTTTTAAATTAACAGGCTTTTATTTTTTAGAGCAGTTTTAGGTTTCCAGAAAAAGTAAGCAGAAAGAATAGAGTTCCCTCTCCCCAGTTCAGATTCCCCTATGAATAACATCTTGTTTTGGAATGATACATTTGTAACAATTGAACCAGCATTGATACATTATTATTAACGCAAGTCCTTAGTTTACATTAGGGTTTACTCTTTGTATTCTACAGTTTTATGGTTTTTCCCAAATACATGTCAAGTATCTACTGTTAAAGTATCATACAGAATGGTTTTACTGGCCTAACATCCTTTGTGCTCCACCTATTCATCCTTCCTCCCCCCACTTCCCCAACCCCAGGTAACCACTGATCTTTTTAATCGTTTTTTTACTCTGCGTTTTTCACTTAACATTATATCACAAAAATTTCCCAGGGCATATTAAGTAGTCTCCAAAAACCATAGTTTTGAAATTACGGTTTTTGGAGAATACTTGGGATGCTGAGGCGGGAAGATTGCATGAGTCCAAGAGTTCAAGGTTATTGTGAGGTATTGATTGCTCCACTGTACTCCAGCCTGGGTGGCAGAGCAAGACCCTGTCTCAAAAAAACAAACAAAAAAGATTACCAATTTGGTAAACAAATGATAGTGTTTCAGAGTTTTCTTTTGTATCTGTCAGATTAATTTGGGGAAATACTGTTCAGATCCTTTGCCTTTTTCTGTTGAGTCATTAGTCTTATTATTAATATATTGTATATCTTTTCTTACAGATCCTTTTATCCTGCCACACCAGCAGGTTGATAAAGGAGCCATCAAATTTGTACTCAGTGGAGCAAATATCATGTGTCCAGGCTTAACTTCTCCTGGAGCTAAGCTTTACCCTGCTGCAGTAGATACCATTGTTGTATCCTTCCCAGGCTAAAACTGCTGAAAAATGTATTCATTGTGCTCTTATCATTACTGCGAAAGGTGTACCATCCAAGAGAACATTAGATGTACTTTTTTGAAGGTTACTGTTACTCTTATCTCATGCCTTTCTGGTTACATTTGAAGTTGTACAAAGTAATTTTATTTGTTGCTACTAAATTATCTCATCTTAGGTCGTTTCTTAGAAGTTAAATGAGAACAAGTTACAGAAGAGTCTCAGCTGCATTTCAGCCCAGTCAGGGCCTACTGTTATCAGACTTAGGACACAATAGGGAATTCTTGATTACTAGGGGAAAGGATATAGATGATATAATTGGATCAGCTTTTTGGATATCAACTTGCCACTGTAATGTTCATTTTGACTTACTGACATACGTTGGAGTGAAAGCTCTCAAAAGGGAAAAGAATTTAGGCACCAGGTATAGGTATCTCTTACCAAGCAACAATTTTGTGTTAGGAGTGAATAGTGGGAAATATTGGCAACCTCCAACTTTTATTTTGAAAATTAATTATTTGAAAAGTTGAGTTTGGGGGCCTCAGAGCACGTTTTCTCAAAGAGAAATGTCAGAGTCCCAGATGGTCCTTAAAGATCGATTCAACTCATGACATAGCTGAATAATTCTGCATTATTTCCATTTCTACCATGCTGTTTCAGCTATTTTCTGGATTAAATAGATTTTTGTGACTATTCTGGACAGGAGAACATCTTCTCCTTTATCATAGCTAAAGTAGCCATTTGCCTCGGGTATAGAAAAGGAATGGTACTTGGTGGGAATAGGGAAACTACTTTTAGAGTGTGTTTATCTTATTTTAGTTTTTGAGATGGAGTCTCGCTCTGTCGTCCAAGCTGGAGTGCAGTGGCACGATCTTGTCTCACTGCAACATCTGCCTCCTGGGTTCAAGCAATTCTCCTGCCTCAGCCCCTCGAGTAGCTGAGGTTACAGGCACCCACTACCACGCCCGGCTCATTTTTGTATTTTTAGTAGAGACAGGGTTTCACCATGTTGGTCAGGCTAGTCTCAAACTCCTGACCTCAGGTGATCCACCCGCTTTGGCCTCCCAAAGTGCTGGGATTACAGGTGTGAGCCACCACACCTGGCCAGGGGTGTGTTTAAGAAGAATAAGAAAAAAAAATGATATTCTCTGTTGGGGCAGTTATAGCGAAGAGGTAGTATAAGTAGTATGTTTATATTCTAGGAACAGCTTATGTTGACATGCTTTTTGCCTAATAGGTGCTCACATATTTGGAACACTGAGTGAATTGAAAATCAAGGGAGAAAAGTGAGGACGGGTTTTTTGTTGTTGTTGTTTGTTTTTAATATTTATTAAGTGTTGGTAAATTTATAGTTCTGGAGTTAACCTTAAATGGAAAATTTCCTTAGTACCTAGTCTTTACTTTTAAAAATAATTTTTATTTTGAAACAGTTACAGATTTAGAGAAAGTTGTTAAAGAAAATGGTACAGAGAGGTCTTGTGTACCCTGAATCTTGACTTTTTAAAATATGTACTGCAGTGTTTAACATTCCAGAAACTTCATATGTTAACCAAGACCACTCTGGTTTTTCTAGAAAGGTTGAAACTGTTATATCAGGCTCTTAAAGATAGACTGGGAATTTACCTATTATTTTAAAACAGCCTTTACATAAAACCACCATTCAGGCCGGGTGTGGTGGCTCATGCCTGTAATCCCAGCACTTTAGGAGGCTGAGGCGGGCAGATCACCTGAGGTCAGGAGTTCGAGACAAGCCTGGCCAACATGACGAAACCCTGTCTGTACTAAAAATACAAAAATTAGCTGGGTGGGGTGGCATGCGCCTGTAATCCCATCTACTAGGGAGGTTGAGGCAGGAGAATTGCTTGAACTCAGGAGGCAGAAGTTGCAGTGAGCTGAGATCATGCCACTGCACTCCAGCCGGGTGACAAAGCAAGACTCCATCTCAAAAAAACAAACGGCCGGCTATGGTGGCTCACGCCTATAATGCCACCACTTTGGGAGGCTGAGGCAGGCGGATCATGAGGTCAGGAGTTCAAGACCAGCCTGGCCAACATGGTGAAATCCCATCTCTACTAAAAATACAAAAATTAGCTGGGTGTGGTGGCACACGCCTGTAGCACCAGCTACTCGGGAGGCTGAGGCAGGAGAATTGCTTGAACCCGGGAGGCAGAGGTTGCAATGAGCCAAGACTGCGCCATTGCACTCCAGCCTGGGCAACAGAGTGAGACTCTGTCTCAAGAACAAACAAAAATCCCCACTAGTCAGTGATCAGAATAATTAATCAGAACAATTAATATTTATTGATTTCACAGTTTTTAGTATTTATGTGCAAGAAATTTTACTCCTTTTTTGTGTGACTTATTCTGGTTTTGTTAGCATGGGGTTATAGTATTAACATTTGACTTGAAAGAAAAGGGGTTATTAGATTTATTCATTTAGCATTTACTGAGTATTTACAGTGTACCCACAGACTCTGCTAGGTCTCTGCTCTCAAGGAGTTAATGGTCTAGGAGAAGACACAAGAGGGGTTCCAAGTGGCTTAACTAGTAACATGATCATTATTTGACACCCTTCCCTTGATGGGGAGGCCCCAAGGCATTTTGATAAATAGTTTTCTTAGCTGTGTTCTTTCAGGCTATCATGGCAGAAGGAAAACAGCATGCTCTATGTGTTGGAGTCATGAAGATGTCTGCAGAAGACATGTAAGTCTTACTTTAGGCCCCCTTAACTTTTGATATATGGGTAACCAACCCAGGAAGCATCAGAATTACAGGTGAAATTTGCTATCATGCATACCACATTACACAAATATCCAAGCACAGAAGCTTCATTTCTGATATTTCCTAACACTTAGGAAGCCAATGAAACCTATTTTGTCTTCAGGATTGTAGTCTTTCTTAAGCACTGAAAAGAACCCATGTGCCAACACAGCTGTTTTATATGTGTGTACGTGGTACTTTAGGAATCTTATTTAGTATCATTTAAATTGGGGGAGGAGGGAAGATGTTTTACTGCTAGCTTCATTTTATTTATTTTTATTTTTATTTTTTTAAGTTTTTTTGAGATGGAGTCTCACTCTGTTGCCCAGGCTGGAGTGCAGTGGCGCGATCCCGCCTCACTGCAACCTCTGCCTCCCAGGTTCAAGCGATTCTTGTGCCTCAGCCTTCCAAGTAGTTGGGATTACAGGTGTGCGCCATAATGTCCAGCTAATTTTTGTATTTTTAGTAGAGATGGGGTTTCACCATGTTGGCCAGGCCAGTCTCGAACTCCTGACCTCAAGTGATCCACCCACCTCGGCCTCCCAAAGTGTTGGGATTACAGGTGTGAGCCACTGCACCTGGTCATTACTGCTAGTTTTAAAAACAGTGATATATCTCACCACCACACAGTATCTTATATCCTGACCTGGTAATACAAGAAATGTAGAATATTTAGAGAACTAGTAAAGATATATTATCAAAACATAGGCAGTATATTTAAAAATTTTAGAACCCATTTGATGACCAAATTAGTGGTATTAATTTTGTTTCAGGGTTAATGTAGCACTTTGATATTCCCCTAGTCTTGTGACATTGTTACTCTGGTTCTATAGACCCACTAGTTAGATCACTAAAATCACTTTTAGATATGAGCTGCCACAGAGTAATGTAGTTTAATATAAACAACAATGTAATTGTGATGTCAATAAGTTCTTTACTTGTGGCTTAATAATTAAAAAATAACAATATACTTTGAATTATATTTATCACGAGTAAGACTATAAAAATGCATAAAAGTATGTTTATGTGTTTTTTTTCCTTCTACAGTGAGAAAGTCAACAAAGGAATTGGCATTGAAAATATCCATTATTTAAATGATGGGCTGTGGCATATGAAGACATATAAATGAGCCTCAGAAGGAATGCACTTGGGCTAAATATGGATATTGTGCTGTATCTGTGTTTGTGTCTGTGTGTGACAGCATGAAGATAATGCCTGTGGTTATGCTGAATAAATTCACCAGATGCTAAAATTCTGTTAGCTTCAGAAATTATTTTAAGTTTTCTTAAACTCAAGTTAAAATTGGGTAGCAAACTTGGACATTAAAAGGTATCTGGTAAGTAAGCAAACTCATACAACTAATGTCCTTTCTTAGGCTAATGATATAAGAGTGAAGAGCAGGACTTGGTCAATGGATTGCCATTTTATGGTAGACCTCTAGAGAAACTGTCTAGTTAAATGGGGCTAGAAACTAGACTAGGAATTTTATTCTATTACTCCAGGGGACCCAGCAGTGCTCATTCTCGTGTGTGTGTGTGTGTGTGTGTGTGTATGTGTGTGTGTGTGTGTGTGTGTGTTTTGTTGATTGTTTTTTTAAAAAAAACTTCAATGGAAAATTCTAAACATATTAAGAAGTCTGGAGAATAGTATAATGGACCTCTCCATATCCATCACCCAGTTTCAGTTTATGGTCAGTCTTATTTCATCTATACCTCAATTATTTCTCCCCACCCCCCAATTATTTTGAAGCAAATCCCAGACATCCTATCATTTCATCCATAACTACTTTATTCTTTTTTTTTTTTTTTTGAAACAGGGTCTTGCTCTGTTGCCCAGGCTGGAGTGCAGTGGTACGATCTTGGCTCACTGTAACCTCCACCTCCCGGGTTCAAGCGATTCTTGTGCCTCAGCCTCCTGAGTAGCTGGGATTACAGGCACGTGCCACCATGCCCGGCTAATTTTGTATTTTTGGTAGAGATGGGGTTTCGCTATGTTGGCCAGACTGGTCTTGAACTCTTGGCCTCAAGTGATCCGTCCCCCTCTGCCTCCCAAAGTGCTGGGATTACAGGCATGAGCCACCGTGCCCAGCTAATTTTTATATATTTTATAGTTGGCCAGGCTGGTCTTGAACTCCTGGCCTCAAGTGATCAGCCTCCCAAAGTGCTGGGATTATAGGCATGAGTCACCATGCCTGGCGTCATAACTACTTTAGTGTGTATCTTTAAAAATTAGAAAAACCCCACAATACCATTATCACACCTAAAAAGTTGAACTGTTTCTTAATATGATCAACTGTCTAGACTGTTAATTCTCTTTAACTGTTGGTTTGCTTGAAATAGGTACCACACAAGGTTCATACATTGCATTTGGTTGTTATTTATTGAAGTCTGTTTAATTTATAAGTTACCTTTTCTTTTCCCCCTTAAATTATTTAAGAAATCTAGTTGTTTTGTCTTTAAAGTTTCCACACATATTCTGGATTTTGTTGATTGTATCACTGTGAAGTCATTAACTTGTTTTTATGCCTCCTGTATATCCTGTAAACAAATAAGATTGATCAGATTCAGGTTCAGTTTTTTTAGTGCCTTCTTTTGAGTAAAGTCATACCAAACAGATGCCCAGAACATCTGGATTTGGGTCCCCACTAGACTCCTTAAATAATGTATATCTTCTATAAGTGGAATATGAGGGACATGGACCTGCTTTAGTAAGAACAGTAATCTGTTTGGGGAGTTAAAAGAGCAGTTGTGGATTTATTTATTGATAAAGACCATTTTTCTTCCTAATAACCTTGCTGTTATTCTAGTGTCTTAGCCATCTTCATTTGGTTGTTTACCAATATATGACATGTGATTTTATTTTTCAGATGGATACAGACATATACAAGATTGTGGTGACCTGTGTTACAGTTAGAAGTTGGTGAGAAAGGTGAGGGTGGATAGCAAAAAGAGAGAGATCATTTGGCTGGCTGTTCCAGCTGGGTCTCCCAGGATGTAACATAGGTGGACATAGATCCAGGGTCTGACCCTCAGCTTGAGAAACCATTTCCCACTGATGAAACTTGAGAGACTTGGAGATTCCCCAGTTAGAATATAAATGTATTAATTCATAGTGATAGGTCTGCCTATGGTAAACAATTAGGAAACAGGAAGTTACTTGGTAAACACAGGTATGAGCAAAGGAAGATTGATAAATTGGGGTAATATTTCAGTTGTGCTGAGGTAAGACTTGGAGAATTTTTCCTGCTTCATCATTAATTAGAATGCTTATCTCTGCCAAAATCTCATCTCTTTCCTAGCCCATAGAGGTGCCCTGATATTTTATTTCCTATATCCTTTTCAAGTTCCATGTAGTTTTCCTTATGTTATGACAGTTTTATTCTGCAGCTTACCATATTATTTATTCCTGGTCCACGAAAGTATAAATAGTCTCATCAGGAACTCATTTGTAAGTCATCTCCCAGGGGGGTTTCTTCAACAGATAGTTTAATTTTTTGCTGACTTACTGGCTTCAAATTCAGATGTCTCCCTATTTGGGGGAGGAGGCACCCTATTTGAGGCCTGTAGCTCCTTATGTTCTTAAAAAGAATATACAAGTCATTTATGTCAGAATCAAACTTTGAACCTTTATTTTTGTTGCTAAGAGAATGTTTTTTGACCAAGACTGCCTATGGAGTATTAGCAATGAAAAACAAAGCACACATATACATACATTAGAGAAGTAAAAACTTTTAATAGCTTGGTTTTTGAAATAATTCATCTTTGTGTCTAACCACTGTTACAGTGGGTGTAAGGAACACTTTTTAAATATTCAACATCAACATCTGTGCTTGTTTTTCTACTGTGCTGAGGTACACTGTGTTGCCTTGGTGATATGGACTAAATATGTATGTTCTCTGCTTCCCCTGGGTCTGAGGCCTCTGCTCATCACTGTTAATCAGGGATGTCACTCTACATGTGTGATCCTTGTCATTTTCTAAACATTAGGTCATACATGAAAGGCAATTCAAAGAGATTAAACTAGCAGATGTGTCAGCATCTTTAGATACTGTGCTTAATGGAAACTTAGTTTACCTATATTCGTGAGAATAGGAATACAGGGATAGAGAGCCTGCTTCTCTCAGGCAGTGTGTCTTTAGTTCATTTTTAGTTTCAAAATTAAGTTTGTGTCAAACCAACCTACAATCTAGTAACTTGTGTATTGGACTCACTTTTACTCAGACAAGGTCAGTTCAGCTCAATAGGTATTTATTGAGTATCTACTAGGTTCTAAGTGACGTGGCATGAAGATGAATAATACAGAAGTAGCCCTTGCTCTTAAGGAGCTTCCAATCTAGTGAGTAAAGAAAATTTACATTTTAAATAATCTGGGTAATGGTGACAGCCCAATACTAATATGTAAAGCCAGTAGGAATGTACTAATCCTTTTCCAATTTTAGTCATCAAAAATTGTAAATTACAAATGAACTAAATGTAGTAATATTCCATAGATTGTATCCAATGTGAGGGTAAAAAAAAAATCCCAGATGTCTTGGAGTTGCCGTGATTCAGCATCCCAACTCAGATGATTGTCCTGTTGTCCGGTGACATAATGGCCTGATCAGTTCTCTTCTAGCAGACTGTCTGTTATGGTGGTTTGGTAGTGGTCTGTTGGGAAGCTGCATTTTTCCTTTTCTGTTTTTATGCTCTGGACCCCAAACAAAAACAGCTGGATTTATCCCATGGGTAGTCATGAACATTTCCAATTTGAGGGATTTTATATTCCCCAAACAGAAGGTTATATGGCATATATCAAATAATAATGATATCCAGCCAGGTTCCCTGTCGTACCCAAATCAGTAACTGAAGATACGTATTTCTAAGTATAATACTTCAGAGGAAGAGATAAGAATTACAATTCACTAAATTCGTGGAGGTGTTTCATTATAATAAATATGTCACTTATTAATAATGTAGCAATTATATATTAATGGAAATATGAATGTATGCCCAAGCAAAATGTCATAAATATTTTAACTTTGTTTGTCTAGGTTCCTTAATTTTGAGACTATAATTATCAAGGCTCTTCAAGAAACTCAAAATGATTCTAATTTCTAAGTAGTATGCATTAAAACTGATATATAATGAAAGAAAAACAGTGAAAATGTATGCATCAGTTTCTAAAGAAATCATACTTGTCATTGTAGAGATGCATGTAAATTAAATGTATTATACATTTTTATACTTGTATGTATTTTATACTTTGTATGAATACTTTTATTACACTTTTTAAGGCAGGTAAAAGAATGAGTAGATGTTATCAACTATAACAACAATTTGTTGAATACTGTGTTAAAACCAAGTAAAGGACCACAACTCCACGAGATCAGGAATGAATGAAGAAAATTGAGGGCCAGTTTTTAAATCATTGTTGAGACTATTAGGTTCATCTGTCTGTTTAAGAGTCTGGCCTTAGGGAATATAATTTATGCATGTAAAAAAATACAGGAGATGATTCACTGGAATGTCTCTTAATAATACCATGTTCATTAAGAATAGGTCATTGGGAGGAAAAATAAATAAAAACATCTGAACTCATTAGTATAATTAATACTTGCCTCTTAGAATGAAAATTAAAGAACTCCAAATTTTAGCCTTGAATACTTTGAGAAATAAAAGATGAATTAGTGAAATAATTTCTACTTAAAATCTTAGTTGTTACAGAGAATGACATGCCTCACTATTAATGTCCAATTCTAATTAATGGATTGTTTTAGAAATGTATTTGTGAAATATAGCAAACATAGCTAGTAATACTAACAGGTGAAAACTGATATTTCAAATGACTAAATAGACTTAAGATTAGAGGAAGGTAGGAAAAGGTGTGCAACTAACAGAAGCAGTTAACCAAAAAATGAGCTTCAGGCATCAGTCTTATTTGGAAGACTGTAAATCAACAGGCTAACGTTCAAAATATGGCAGACATCTTAATATCAATATATGCTAAATTGGTTTATCTTTAGGCAGAAACAGAAAGCAAAAAATTAAACTCATCCAACTCATACATTTGTTGTTGTTGTTGTTGTTGTTGTTTTTGAGATGGAGTCTTGCTTCATTGCCCAGGCTGGAGTGCAATGGCACGATCTCGGCTCACTGCAACCTCTGTCTTCCGGGTTCAAGCGATTCTCCTGCCTCAGCCTCCCGAGTAGCTGGGATCCCATGCGTGTGCCACCACACCTAGCTAATTTTTGTATTTTTAGTAGAGACAGGGTTTCACCATGTTGGCCAGGCTGGTCTCAAACTCCTGACCTCAGGTGATGCACCCGCCTTGGCCTCCCAAAGTGCTGGGATTACAGGTGTGAACCACCACACCCGACCCAACTAATACATTTTTAAAATCCCATTTTAAAAGTAAAACCACAGTTTTCATATAACAAATGTTATTGCTCTTCATTTCATTCTCCAATTTTAAAATGCTTTACTTTCAGCCAATATGTGAATATAGGAGACTTCAAAAGCATAATCAATTACTCCCTTAAAGTTCATTGTAAGTGTTCTCAGAACTCTACCACCTAGAATTTAAAGACGGGAAGATTTACTTTATAATTTTAATTTCTTATCACAAGACTCGATTGTCAATAACTGTTAACGTCCATTTAATAATCTATGGTGAAATAGGTAATTTCTTCTTATTTTCACAAGCGTGTGAGTAAAAGACTGGGTTTTAAGCAATAAATCATTTGTTCTAACTAAGCACATGCTTGGAAAAAGTGCTATTTTTCCAAACGTATGCCTTGAAAACAAATACAATTCAATTGCCTTTTTGGTTCATGGGAAGCCATACTGCGGTGGCTTCCAAGGTTGGCCAACCTGTTTTTATTCTTACCACCTCTTTCAAAAAGGGATGTTGTCTTTGTCCCCAAATTCTGGTGTTGTCCTATGCTGATGCATAATGAAGCCCTGAGGCTTGGAAACTTGCAAACCAATAAGATGATTTAATGATGAAACGGCATGTCAGTTTGACACTGTCTATTAATAGTCCTTGAGTGAGCTTAAATTTGAGACACTTTTAAAAGCGGCATGTAGTTCCAGTTTTGCTTCCCTTATCAGTGGAGCTTGAGATGTCTGTTCCTGCCGACTGATGTTTTAACAAATTTTTAGTTTCTCATGATGTGAAAGATTTTGTATGCACGTCTTAGTCTGGATACTGTTTTCATTAGTTCTAATGCTGCTGCATGCAAATTTTGTTTAAAACCAAAATTGACTCTTCACATCTGGACTAGATTGGACATGGTGAGGAGGCTGGAAGGAAAGTCCTTTTTGCTCTGTAGGCTCTGGACAGCTTTCTTAGAGTTGACTTATCCAGGATTAAGAAAAAGTTTTCTTTTGCGTGACTAAATTCTTTCCACAGTTTGCTTGTGTAAGCATTTTAGATTTAAGCAAGTTCAACTTGAAATATATTTGAATATGAAGTAGAAACAGCTTCATTTAATGGGATAATAGCAATCTCTAACCCATCAAATTAATATCTACTAAATAGCTTCCAAAAAGCACTGACTGGAAAATATTTTTCACTATCATGGCTTTATTCAGTTTCAAAAACAGTAGGGGCTAAAATGTTTGGACATTTATCCTGCATTTATTTTGTGTTTCACAAGGTTAAAATTTTGTATTTTGTAAAGTGTCTGAAAAGGAGTCCACAAAGTATTTCTGCTTTCTTGCTCCTGAATGCAAAGGTCTGAGAGAAGGCACATCCTCATTAGCTTCTGGGTGTTGTCAAACCCAATCCTCTCTCAAGTACCAAATGCCCAGATACATTTATTGGGATGCAGGAATCTCACTTAAGTAGCGGTTTTTGCTGATATAAAGACAAACATCTTGATTAAAGTGTAGGGAGATAGAAACTATACCAATTTGGGCAATTTTGGCTCTAATGTCTAATTTGTTGTGAAAGGGGAAGATGTTCTAAGCTAATGTTCTTAAAAGTAACTTATGAATTTCTTAAAAATAGTTTTTAAAAAGCTGTTTCAGGAAAAGCTGTTTTATTGCATGGCACAGATTAAATGTACAGATGTTATCTTAAAACAATGAAAGAGTTCCCCTAATTTGAATATTCAATACCAGCTGTTATTCACATCAATATTTTAACATTTTACCATCAAGATATTTAATACAAAGGATTGATACATATTTAACTGTTTAGAATTCTAGTTAAACTTGTCCAGATGAGTAAGAGGGAAGGAGAAATAACATTCTCCAAGTACCTACCATGTGCACAAGCTCTACTTATATATCTTGCTTAATCTTAGCAATGATTCCATGAGGTAGATTTTAACTCTCATTTTACAAACGAGGAGACTAAGGCTCAGAGAGGTCATACAACTTCAGGAAAGTTGTATGACCTCTCTGAGGTAATAAATGGCAGAACTGGAATTTGAACCTAAGTCTCCTTGTCTGCAAATCCTGTGTTTTGCAGAAAACTCTCCTCTTGTATTTCATAAAATGTTAAATCTTGGCCCAAATTCAAATCACCATCTTTATGGGTTATTGGAGAGAGGTATAAGTTGGCAAGACTCTGTTCCACGATGGGAAAAAATGGGTAGGATTTGAATGAGTAAGAGTGGGATACTTGCACAGTATCATATTTGTGTGGCTGGAGTAATGTTTTTCTGTTTCCCTCTTAGCAAAGTGGAGTGGGAGAATCTTGAAATTGAACTCAGTCCTGAGGTCTGATTTTCCTATTATTAGTCACTTTCAAGCCAGGTGATTTGTGACCATTTAAATGTTATGCTATTTCAAAGTCTTCTACATCTTTAGAAAAGGACATGAGGGAGGGTTAGTTAAGTGGGGCAATGAGAATGTAGAGTGTAATGTGCAAAAGCAGGACTAGCAGTTGCTTTGAAGATATCTGGGGAAGGCCGGGCACGGTGGTTCACGCCTGTAATCCCAGTACTTTGGGAGGCCAAGGTGGGCGGATCACGAGGTCAGGAGATCGAGACCATCCTGGCTAACGTGAAACCCCGTCTATACTAAAAATACAAAAAATTAACCGGACGCAGTGGTGGGCGCCTGTAGTCCCAGCTACTCGGGAGGCTGAGGCAGGAGAGTGGCATGAACCCGGGAGGCGGAGCTTGCAGTGAGCTGAGATCGCACCACTGCATTCCAGCCTGGACAACAGAGCGAAACTCCGTCTCAAAAACCAACCAAACAAAAAACAAAAATTAGCTGGGCATGGTGGCGCGTGCCTGTAATCCCAGCACTTTGGGAGCCAAGGTGGGTGGATCATGAGGTCAGAAGATTGAGACCACCCTGGCCAACATGGTGAAATCCTGTCTCTACTAAAAATACAAAAAAAAAAAAAAAAAAAAAAATTAGCCGGGCGTGGTGGCGCGTGCCTGTAATCCCAGCTACACAGGAGGCTGAGGCAGGAGATTTGCTTGAACCTGGGAGGCGGAGGTTGCAGTGAGCCGAGATTGTGCCACTGCACTCCAGCCTGGGCGACAGAGCAAGACTCCGTCTAAAAAAAAAAAAAAGATATTAAAATTAATGACAGGAAGAGTTTGGGTTCAGTTATAATTTAAGGGAAAAAACATTGAGGGGCCTAATCTACATTTTGCTCCGGATCCAATGATTTAATTTTTGGGAAGAAAAATCCAGTGATTAAAGTCATGCAAGGAGATGGCCTGGGGCTTGCTAAAAGTCAGGTTGCAGTTTCCATTGCATTCAAGAAAATCAGAAAAATAAATACAACTTTTAGAAGAAACTAAGTTTTCTCCCATTCATGTTTAGCTATTGGGGGGTCTCATACTTCTGGACTTGCTTAGACCTATGCTATCTAATATGGTAGCCTCTGCCCATCCATATGTGGCCACTGAGAACTTGAAATGTGACTAGTTTGAATTAAGATGTGCTGTAACTAAAATACACCCTGGATTTCAAAGACTTAATAAATAATGTAAATTATCTATTCTTTCCTGTTGATTATATATTGAAATGATAATATTTTGGATATGTTTGGGTTAAATAAAATATATTACTAAAAGTAATTTCACCTGTGTCTTTACTTTTTAAATGTGACTATTAGAAAATGTGAAATTAAAGGCTGGGCGCGGTGGCTCACGCCTGTAATCCCAGCACTTTGAGAGACCGAGGCGGGCGGATCACGAGGTCAGGAGATCGAGACCATCCTGGCTAACACGGTGAAACCCCGTCTCTACTAAAAATACAAAAAATGAGCCGGGCGCGGTGGCGGGTGCCTGTAGTCCCAGCTACTCGGGAGGCTGAGGCAGGAGAATGGCATGAACCCGGGAGGCGGAGCTTGCAGTGAGCCGAGATTGCGCCACTGCACTCCAGCCTGGGCGACAGAGTGAGACTCCATCTCAAAAGAAAGAAAGAATATGTGAAATTATATATGGCTCATGTTTTATCTATTGGACGGCGATGGGTTGGAGAAAAGGCAGTATTCCCTGAAGCTTCGTGCTAGAGGCAAGTGCTTTAAAGTGGTAAGTATGAAAAAGATTCTCAGTGCCAGCATTCAGTCTTCCATCAAGCCAGGAAGTTTTTCCCTCTTCCCCTCAGATGGTACAGGGGTGGTATTTTGACTATTAGAATATTTCCATTAATTCAACACTTTGGGTAACTAGGTGGATGTCTGTATCATTCACTCACTAGATCAAAGCATTTTTTTTTTCTAATGGAAGTCTGTCACTCATTAAAGGCAGTTATCCTATTTATCTCTCTAAAACCTGAGTCTTATTTTTAAGTCCTGCTCTTTCTGCTAGGGTTTTTGCCAAATTTCCAAAGCAATGGCATAACCAATGTGGCTATTCTTGCATGTAATCAGTAGAAACCTAAAGAAATGGGAACTATGTGGGTTAGAAGAAATAGCATTTATCAGGCAGGGCGCAGTGGCTCATGCCTGTATTCCCAGCACTTTGGGAGGCCAAGACGGGTGGATTACTTGAGGTCAGGAGTTTGAGACCAGCCTGGCCAACATGGTGAAATCCCGTCTCTACTAAAAATACAAAAATTAGCCGAGTGTGGTGGTGTATGCCTGTAATCCCAGCTATTTGGGAGGCTGAGGCAGGAGAAACGCTTGAACTCGGGAGGCAGAGGTTGCGGTGAGCCAAGACCGTGCCACTGCACTCCAGCCTGGGCAAAAAAAAAAAAAAAAAAAAGCATTGATCAAATCCAGGAATTTTAAGACAAAAGGGCTGACCACTATATTCTAGTACTACATTATTAAATTACAGTTTGTCTTATTGCTCATGCAAAGCTTATGTGAAATGATTATTTGACTATGATGAATTATGAGTTTGGGCTCTTTCTGCTTTCCACAAAGTACCAGGCCTACTGCCTACTGTTGACCTCATAGATACCCAATATATACAAAGAAAATTATAGTGTATGGATGCCACACTAGTAAAGCTGGATTTTTTTTATTATGGTAGAGACCCTAGAGATACACTATGTCATCATTTTATACTTTCCAAACAAGTCATTTTCCCATTACCCTTTAAATGCTTTATAGTATTCTATTTTTGGTTATATTAGAGTTATTGACTATAGTTATTTTTTGTCATTTTTTTCAAACTTGTAAAAACTGTCAAGTATAGTTATTTTTAAAATTTGGGGCAATATTTTTTTGGGGGGGAGTTGATAAACATTGCTGAATGTCTTTGTATGCCAAAAGAAAGCTAACTTCTATAAACATATGCTTCTCACATAACCACTCAGGCAAGTACTGAGTGCATCAAAGTCAGCCCATACCAAAAGGAACACAATATTGTTTTTTTTTTTTTTGAGATGGAGTCTCGCTCTTGTCCCCCAGGCTGCAGTGCAATGGCACGATTTTGGCTCACTGCAACCTCCACCTCCCAGGTTCAAGCAATTCTTCTGCCTCAGCCTCCCGAGTAGCTGGGATTACAGGTGCCCGCCACCACGCCCAGCTAGTTTTTCTATTTTTAGTAGACACAGGGTTTCACCATGTTGGCCAGGCTGGTCTTGAATTCCTGACCTCAGGTGATCTGCCAGCCTCAGCCTCCCAAAGTGCTGGGATTACAGGCATGAGCCACTGTGCCCAGCCAGAACACAATATTCTTAACAAATGAAAGGGAAATTAGCGGTACATCATCATTAGACTATATTTTCAGCAACTTTTCTATTACAGGTATGCCCTGCTTTAAGAACACCCAATAACTGAGTTTGTTTAAATGCATTATAGAAAAATCTGGGCATTATGAATCAGATTTGATACACAAGCAACCTTTTAGCTTACTCCCCTGCCAGCCCACCGCCCCAGAAAATAGCCAAGGGGTCTAAATCTATATTTTGCTCCAGATCCAATGTTTTACTTTTGAAAAGGAAGATTCAGTGATTGAACTCACACAAGGCAATGGTCTGGGGCCTGCTAAAAGTCATGCTGTGGTTTCCATTGCATTTGAGACAACCAGACAAACAAATACAACTTTTAGAGGAAACTTCAAGTTTTCTCTTATTCACATCTCAGCCAGGAGTGGGATCTTACACTTAGAATTGCTTAGACCTGTGCTGTCCAATATGACAGCCACTAGCCGTATGTAGAGTATATTCACAATCCCGATCAATTTCCATCAGACCTCCATTTTTTCCAACTCTCTCATCATGAGTGGGGTTAGGGTTATTGTTTTCGGTTACTGAATATATTATTTTTCTATGTAAAGCTAACAGACATATATGGTGATCAAATCTGTAACCACAACCTCAGTAGTACTATTTTCTGTTATTGATTCAGATTTTATCTGCAAGACTGGCTGCAAGTAAGTTCAGAGAGACAGCATATTATTTGAGACACCTAACATTTCGTTAAAAAAATACTCAGTATCGGCCGGGCGCAGTGACTCACGCCTGTAATCCCAGTACTTTGGGAGGCCGAGGCGGGCGGATCACCTGAGGCCAGGAGCTTGAGAACAGCCTGATCAACGTGGAGAAACCCTGTCTCTACTAAAAATACAAAATTAGCTGGGCGTGGTGGCACATACCTGTAATCCCAGCTACTCGGGAGGCTGAGGCAGGAGAATTGCTTGAACCCGGGAGGTGGAGGTTGGGATGAGCCGAGATCACGCCATTGCACTCCAACCTGGGCAACAAGAGCGAAACTCCGTCTCAAAAAAAAAAAATATGTATAAAGATACAATCAAGAGCATCAATTTGGCTTAAAAGGCAATGTTACCTTAGTACTCATTAGCAAAACACACAATGCAATGCATTCTGACATGTTTATGATGATACTCTGATGTACTAATGTAAGTGAAGATGATAAATGCAATAGAAAAATTTTAAATATACTGGTGTTGGGGGCAAGGTGACAGATAAGCTGTGTCACACTCTGAGAGATACTGTTTATTACTGTACTCACATTGAACATGATTTGATTGTAGTAATTGCATCTGAGACCACATATTAGGGGGCTTCATAAAGGGGTTTTGTTATTCTTCAAAACTAATAACGCTTCATCTTAACCAAAACCCTCAATGAGAATAATCAGAAATAAAGCAAAGTTTTACACACTACCCTGAGGATCAATAACTTCAAGCCCAAGGCCATCTTAAGGAAATTTTCTTTCTGGTTTGCTAAAGCTGTGGGAGACCATTACCATCATGAGGCCAGTTACAAGAAATATTGATCTCTAAAATGTCATGCTCTAACACTCTATGCGGACTCACAGCATGTGCTGGCCAGATTGCAGAACAAGTCAGCTCTAAGTATTTCACACATTTATCAGTACAGGAGCTATTGCATTTACCACTGGATTAAGTTTCTGAGTAGCCATTGAAATTTGGGAAAAGGTATGGTAATGCAAAGTAGATAGGTTAGGACCTCCACACTGAAAACAGATATGGTACAGCTGTGAACATGGGAAAATTCCCTGAACTTGTACAAGGAAACAAAATCCAGAACAGGCTGGGCGCAGGGACTCATGCCTGTAATCTCAGAACTTTGGGAGGCCGAGGCGGGTGATCACCTGAGGTCAGGAGTTCGAGACCAGCCTGGCCAACATGGCAAAACCCCATCTCTACTAAAAATACAAAAAATTAGCCAGGTGTGGTGGTGGGCACCTGTAATCCCAGCTACTTGGAAGGCTGAGGCAAGGGAACTGCTTGAAACCAGGAGGCAGAGGTTGCAGTGAGCCGAGATTGTGCCATTGCACTCCAGTCTGGGCGACAGAGCAAAACTCTGTGTCAAAAAAACAAAACAAAACAAAACAAAATACAGAACAGATTCAACTCAGGTAAGTGAAACTGCCAGATGGCCAAAACAAGTTCTTCAAATTTCCACAGAACTCATTGACCCAGCAGGACTACATTTTTATCCAAATTGCAGCTGGGAGCTTGATTAACTGAGAAACAACACAATTAAATGACATGACATTCTTCATAGGCACCAATCCAATGTCAGTATCTGCAGGCTGAAGTACAGACAGTTACACTGAAATTGCGTATGCTCTGAGGAATGACACTAAATTCGCTTCCAGGAAAATTACTCAATTTTGTAAGTAATTTTCAGTTTTTTTTCTCAGGGATATTTTTCAACTTTCACTTTAATTTTCTTTAGTTGCTTAGTTGTACATTTTGAGAAGGCAAATCCATTGGAACTTGGGGAGGCTTAGAACATAAATCAGTATTAGAAGTAAAGGGAACACACAGCTAAAAGTTTTACTTTAATCACAAATTCACAACTAGAGATATCATTTGCATATCTTAGAACGCTAAAGACCTGTTAAAATTTTTTAACCAATCAGCAAAAATATGTGCCCCACAGATTTCTAATGTTCATAATTTAGAATTTATCACATATAATATTTATTAATAGTTTATTTGCAAAATTATTATTCTTAAAACACTTCTTTCCAACACATTTACAATGTTCATGTGTTTTAAAGAAAAAAACCACCCTCATTTAAAAATGTACTACTGACTTTAATGTGTGGTTATACCAGTGCCACCAAATTAGAAAAGAAAAAGAAACATACAGCTGTATTGGATATGTAGTTACTACTACAAATAATGACAACACACGTCCTATACAAAGATCATATTCACGCTTTTCTACCACTTCTCAGTCATTGTCAGAACCATTTGGAGGTAAGAAAACCAATGCATCATTGAAAATATGCCCAAATGCCCTAAGGCGGTATACCCCATACATCATCACATGCATCTGATTTGGAGTCAGTCCATTAAAAGTAACAGCCATATCTGAACAACAGCCTTCTACTACCTGGTTGGGGTGATAAGTCATTGCCTCTTTAATAGAAAGCCCAACAGATTTGGTATTAAATACATCTTTTCCATCAGCATCTTCTGCATTTTCTGCAAATACTCCAGCATATTTCAGGCAAACTGCTAGCTGTTTATCTTCAGATATCTTCCAAATCATCCCTCCCTGTTCAGGACACTTTTCTGGGATATTGAGAAGGCTGTTAAGTCTTTTCATTGATTCTACACTTAAGACAATTCCTCCTTCCATACCCACATATTCAAGGTCTCCAGATTTTATAGTGTGGCCTAGATAGAAAGGCTGTGATGGATCCTTTTTTAACAAAAAATACTTTAGGTTTTCAATGATAGCAAACGTAGTGGGGCGTGCAAGGAAGAACCAGTTGTATTGGTCTCTATACTTATCAAAGGCGTATTTGTAAGCTTTTCTCATCATTAACCACATGTCATTTGTGTCCATATTAATTGACTCAAACACTTTAACATTTTCAGAACTGAAGAACTCTGCTTTGTCACAGTGTTTGGTCCAAGTCTCCTTTACTGCAGCCCAAAGACTCACATCTTTGGGTTTTACAAGGATAATACAGTATACTCGAAAGCTCTTACTGAGCTCCATGCGCTCATCCTCTGAAATTTTCAAGATATCTTCTTTGTTAGGAGCTTGTAGGTGATGATGCTCATGGTGGTGCATTCTATTTCCATGACCAATCCTAATGTGTCCTAGCATAGTGATCAAAGCACAGAAAATGCTTCCAAGCATCACACCCTTCAAAAAGGAGCTGCTTTCAGAAAGCATTTTTCCTATAAAGAAGAAAAAGACTCTTAAAATACTTAATAGAAAAAGATTAGTCTATAAATTTGATTTGGTATTCCTTATATACTTACATTTTGCTTTTAATGTTTTTTTTAAAAGGTTCCCAAGCTTGAAATCAAGTTAGTTGCATATAGTACAAAAGGCTCTCAAAATCTTTAGCTTCCAATGGAATCTGATTACTGTTTGGTATAAACTGGAACTTTGCAACAACTCCTCTATGGAGAAGTTTGTTTTGCACTTCATCTATGGGGATTTAATAAACCCTTGAAACCAGTGTTACAGAGGTTATCCATCCACCATTCTCTTTAAAGAATTTCACATCACAAGCTTGCATTATTTAAATACCTCTAAAAATATAGTGAACTTTTACACCAAAACCTTGGGTTGAACAGATAAAACCACCTATAAATGGCAAATCACCAATGGTATTGTGCTGACATTTCTGTTCTCAACATAGTGCTTTCTTTAACTGATGGCTGCTGTCCTTAAGTGTTTTGAGTAAATCTAAACCAAGTTTCTTGAGAATAACACCATATAGGTTAATATTTACCCTTTTGTTCCTAAAACTAAATGGTTTCCAATACAGTATCCCAACTATTGATGTAATAGAAGCCCATAATAAAAAGTTACATCTTTTGGATCAAAAAGGAATATTGATAGATATATCTGGGGCCCATTAATAAACATTTTCATTTCCTCAAAAGGAATTTTCTTCTTCTTTGGGGAAGTAAAAATGGAAAAATTTACACTTTTATTTCAATTAGAAATTAAGAGGCAGGTGCAGTGGCTCATGGCTGTTATCTCAGCACTTTGGGAGGCTGAGGTGGGTGGATCCCTTGAGTTCAGGAGTTCGAGACCAGCCTGGGCAACATGGTGAAACCTTGTCTCTACCCAAAATCCAAAAAATTAGCCAGACGTGGTGGTGGGTGCCTGTAATCCCAGCTACTCGGGAGGCTGAGGCACAAGAGTCTCTTGAACTTGGGAAGCGGAGGCTGTAGTGAGCTGTGATCTCACCACGGCACTCCAGCCAGGGCATCAGAGTGAGACTCTGTCTCAGAAAAAATAAATAAATAAAAGAAATTAAAAGCTGACATTAAATAAACTTGTTGAAAAAAATTGTATGTTAACCATTTATTCTAGTAAAGGCTGAATTTTCCAATCTTCCCTCCATCTTCAGAAAAAAGCAATCTATTGAGCTACTTAGACTTCCCAGTTTTCTCTTATGGTTGAAAGGAGCCTTAGAAAACTACCCAATGTCAGTCACTTCTCTCATTTTACAGAGAGGAAATGGAAGTCCACAGAGGTTAAATAACTGACTCAGTCACACAGTTAGACAGTGGTATAAGTGGACTAGAAACCACATTTCTCAATATCAGTTTAATGGTTTTTTTCCATTACAGAAGAATAATTGCCATAGTGCTTCTACCACATTAGAGTTTAATAAATGGGTTACTGAATATCCTTGTTTTCATACAAATGGGAAAAAAGTGGGATCTGTTGACCATAACTGATATTTTGCACCCAACAGCACCATATTGCTACAAGGAAACCACTCCTGTGGTTTTCTGCTAGAGGAAATGGAATTTTGACTTCTACCAGAAAGACAAGGTGTGGAATAGCTTGGCAGATGTAATTTCTGAGCGGTGGGTGGGGCAAGAGGCAGGAAGACTTTCCTGTGTCACTCACAGAACTTGGTCAATAAACACAGTTCCAAGAAGAGAAGTGACAGAAAACAAGCTCGGCATAATATTAGAATTGTCGGCTGTGTGCGGTGGCTCACGCCTGTAATCCCAGCACTTTGGGAGGCCGAGGCAGGTGGATCACCTGAGGTAGGGAGTTCAAGACCAGCCTGGCCAACATGGTGAGACCCTGTCTCGACTAAAAATACAAAAATTAGCCGGGCATGGTGGCATATGACTGTAATCCCAGCTACTCAGGAGGCTGAGGCAGGAGAATTGCTTGAACCCGGGAGGCGGAGGTTGCAGGCAGTGAGCCAAGATCGCACCACAGCACTCCGGCCTGGGCAACAAGAGCGAGACTCTGTTTCAAAAAAAAAAAAGAAAGAAAGAAAGAAAAAAGAAAAAGAATTGTCAGGTGCACTCTAAGATTAATTTATATAGGATTTTTGTATTTCATGTCACGCAGTTTTCATTATTTCTGGCCAATACATAATTCACATGTTTCTTTGCTCAATTATGGCATATGTGTCAGAATTCTTCCTGATGGTGATCCTACTCCTGGCTGCAAAAATAGTGATCAAAACTCAGTAAGTCTACACATTTTAAATAAAATAATTTGCAAAAATTATTCTAAGGAGATTTTTTCCCCATCACAGAGGCAAAAAATATAACACTAGGGATGCATATGATAGGATACTTTGTGCAGAAGGAAACAAAACTGCACACGAGCACAAATGAAACAGAAACTACCCCAATGGTTTTTAGATGAACCTTTTTGGGTGAAGGTAGTTGGGGTGAAGTACGGAAAACGAAGACGAAATAGGGAAGAGAAGTGAGAGGGAGGACATGGTAACCTCGATATCCCTCTGAGGGACCAAGAGAGCGCCCCCAGGAAGAAGACTCTCGGTCTCCTGTGCTGACAATCCTCCCGCTGCACCTGCCCAAGCATCCCGCGTGGAGCATGCTGGGAGAGGGCTGGGGCCCAGGCCTCCCCCAAGAGAGGGAGGGGAGTCAGGGTGCGCTTGGGGTGGGGGTCGAGGCCCCGCCACTCACCCGCGTCTAGAACGGCTTGGGGACAGGAAAGCGCAGCCGCGCACGGGTTTCCTCTCACGTTGGCGCACCACTCCGTTACGCTCCTGACCAGGCTGTTCTAGCTGCAGGCGGTGTTCTCTCGTTGGTCTCGCTAAAGGTGGGGAGCGCCAGGAAACGAGCGCCGCGAAGGCGGGGGTAGTGGGGCGGGGTAAAGGAGCCGGCGGCTGGGCGGAGCCGTCCGTTTGCCCGCCCGCGCAGGCGTCGGAAGGGCCGGCGCGCCCGCTGCGCGCACACTGCGTGCCCTTTCTCCCCGCCCCCTGCCGAGTTCAGAGACTTGCTATAGGCCTGCGTGACCCGGACGCTCTCCTTTACCCAACGGGCGTCCAGAGAAGAGGCCGTGCGTACGACTCGCTGACACCTCCCATTTCACCTTCCTGGCATGGAAATTGCGAGAGCGAGAGATTCTTGCTCCCGGTGTCGCTTTTTATCAGACCTCTTGATGGTTTCTCTGATGTACCCCTGCGTCCTTGAACCCTCATATTGCCCACCCCCCCAGTACTCCTGGGCTGAGACCAAAACGCAAGCCACTGAAATAGTCACGTAATTATGACACCAACGGTTTCCTATTATTACTGGAATGAGATCTGAAGCCCCACTGCCTGGAATCCAATCCTGTCTTCACCACACCTTTTGATATCCCAGGAAAGTTATTTCACCTCGCTGTGCCTCAGTTCCCTCATTTGTAAAGTACAGAAAATGTCACAGTAGTGCCTATTTCATAGAAAATTAGATGAGATAGTGCATATGACTCCCTTAGCAAAATTTCAAGCCTAGAGTAAGCATTTACTAAAAAGTACTGGCTGTTATTATTCACCCCAGTATTTCTAGTACTTAACCACAGTGCCAGCACGCAGTGGACAGTAAATATTAGTGGAATTAATGAATATTAGAACTACAGCTGAGGAACCAGGCCTAAAAAGGATAAGGAAATTTCAAAAGTCCACACAGCAAGTTAATGGCAGAGGTGGGACTGGAATCCAGGTCTCTTTTTTTTTTTTTTTTGAGACGGAGTTTCACTCTTGTTGCCCAGGCTGGAGTGCAATGGCACGATCTCGGCTCACTGCAACCTCTGCCTCCCGGGTTCAAGCGATTCTTCTACCTCAGCCTCCCTAGCAGCTGGGATTACAGACGCCCGCCACCACGCCCGGCTAATTTTTGTATTATTAGTAGAGACGGGGTTGGCCAGGCTGGTCTTGAATTCCTGACCTCAGGTGATCCACCCGCCTCGGCCTCCCAAAGTGCTGGGATTACAGGCTTGAGCCACTGCGCACGGCCCCCAGGTCTTCTAATTAAGAGTGCAGAGCTCTCTTTCCACGAAATATTTGATGTGTCTCTTTTTTTTTTTTTTTTTTTTGAGACCGAGTTTCGTTCTTTTTGCCCAGGCTGGAGTGCAATGGCGGGATCTCGGTTCACTGCAGCCTCTGCCTCCCGGGTTCAAGTGATTCTCCTGCCTCAGCCTCCCTAGTGGCTAGGATTACAGGTGTGCGCCACCACGTCTGGTTATTATTATTTTTTTTTTTAGTAGAGACGGGGTTTCGCCGTGTTGGCCAGGCTGGTCTCGAACTCCTGACCTCAGGTGTTCCACCCGCCTCGGCCTTCCACAGTGCTGGGATTACAGGTGTGAGCCACCGATCTGTCTTTTAAAATTCATTTTTGGCCAGGCGCAGTGGCTCACGCCTGTAATCCCAAAACTGTGGGAGGCCGAGGCAGGTGGATCACCTGAGGTCAGGAGATCAAGACCATCCTGGCTAACACGGTGAAACCCTGTCTCTACTAAAAATACAAAAAATTAGCCGGGCGCGGTGGCATGCGCCTGTAGTCCCAGCTACTCGGGAGGCTGAGGCAGGAGAATGCCGTGAACCCGGGAGGCGGAGCTTGCAGTGAGCCGAGATAGCGCCACTGCAGTCTGGCCTGGGCGAAAGAGCGAGACTCCGAGGCGGGCGGATCACGAGGTCAGGAGATCGAGACCATCCTGGCTAACACAGTGAAACCCCGTCTCTACTAAAAATACAAAAAATTAGCCGGGCGAGGTGGCGGGCGCCTGTAGTCCCAGCTACTCGGGAGGCTGAGGCAGGAGAATGGCGTGAACCCCGGGGCAGAGCCTGCAGTGAGCCCAGATAGCGCCACTGCACTCCAGCCTGGGCGACAGAACGAGACTCCATCTCAAAAAAAAAAAATAAAATAAAATAAAATAAAATAAAATAAAATAAAATAAAAATTAGTCGGGCGTGGTGGCTCATGCTTGTAATCCCAGCTACTCGGGAGGCTGAGGCAGAAGAATTGCTTGAACCTGGGAGGTGGAGGTTGCAGTGAGCCGAGATCGTGCCACTGCACTCCAGCCTGGGAGAGTGAGCAAGACTCCATCTCAAAAAAAAAAAAAAAATTCATTTTTGTGGCAGAAGGCTTTTTGCTAAAAAGCCCAAATTTTTACAATTATTTAAAGTGTATTGTTACTAGGTTCCATTAAGATAAAATTGAGTGGTGACTTACTCGGGCCTGAGTTCCTAAAGACACACATGTATTTGAGTGTTGTCAGTGACCTAGTTTAAGTAGACTGAAGGTTTCAGGGAACTCTGAAACAATGAACAAATATATTGTAGGTAGTTACTATCCTGGCAACACTATCTTAAAATCTGGAGATACAGTGGTGAGCAAAATAAGTACCCTGACTTCATGGAGCTGTCAGTCAAGTGGGGAAGAAAGACATTAAACAATTTATTACAAATAATTATAATGGTGGTATGTTTTCTAAAGGAATACCAAAATGAATTTTATTTCTGACAGTGGGCCCGCTGGAAAAGAAAAAATGAATTTTAGAACTGGAAAAGAATTTAAGACCGTGGAATATTTTCATTATATTTTGTTAAGTAATATAGTCTATTTCACATATTATATAAAATATATATGTATGTATGTATATATACCTATATAGTTAAGTGAAACAAATTGCAGAATACTGCATATTATATGATTATGTTTTGGTGGAAACAAACGTGCACATAGGTTTGATCTGTTCGTATGAACAAAGAGAGTTATGGAAGAATACTCAGCAAGCTCTTAATATTGATTACATCAGGAGGTTGAGGTGGGGATGATTAGCTTTGTCTTTATACATCCTTGTATTGCATTGTTTCACTGGTTATAAACAAGCACCTATTTTGAATTTGAAGACCAGCAAATAAAAGGACCTTAAAATTACAGGGACAAAAAGAAAAAAAAGAAAAGATACCAATAAAAATATCTTTTAAAGAATGCAGAGAACCACTCTGTCCTCGCAAAAAGGGACCAGGAAGGACAGAAATGACACTCAGAATTCAGACTGTGATGAAGAGGCAATATAAAATGTTTCTCCTAGAAAATAAGGGCACCTATTTGAGATGATGAATATGTTCATTAGCTTGATTGTGGTAATCATTTCACAGTGTATACATATAGCAAATCATCACATTGTGCACTTTAATTGTATACATTTATTTGTCAAACATACCTCAATAAAGCTGGAAAAAAATAAAATGATTCTTCTTTTAGTATAGAAAAGTACTGTATACCAAACTGGAAGTATTAATAATATAAGAGCAGCGCTTCTTATAGTGGTTGGTAATTTTAAAAAATATTATTTAAAAAATGACACAAGAGACCAGGCATGGTGGCTCACACCTGTAATCCCAGCACTTTGGGAGGCCGAGGCAGGCGGATCACCTGAGGTCAGGAGATCGAGACCATCCTGGCTAACACGGTGAAACCCCGTCTCTACTAAAAATACAAAAAATTAGCCAGGCGTGGTGGCGCACGCCTGTAATCCCAGCTACTTGGAAGGCTGAGGCAGGAGAATCGCTTGAAACTGGGAAGCGGAGATTGTAGTGAGCCGAGATCATGCCATTGCACTGCAGCTTGGGTGACAGAGCGAGACTCCGTCTCACACACACACACACAAAATTGACATAAGATGCTCTGAGACAGAATAAACCATGGGATTTTCAACACCAAAAGCTCTGTTAATAAGAAATTGTCTAAGAACCCAGTTCTTTACTTGACAAATAACTTACATATACTTAGCATTTTAAATAAAGTTAGTGAGATGATTGACTTATGGCTTTTTTTTTTTTTTGAGACAGAGTCTCACTCTGTCACTCAGGCTGGAGTGCAGTGATGTGATCTTGGCTCACTGTAACCTCCATCTCCCAGGTTCAAGTAATTCTCCTGTCTCAGCCTCTCGAGCAGCTGGGACTACAGGCGCATGCCACCACGCCTGGCTAATTTTTGTATTTTTAGTAGAAACAGGGTTTCACTACATTGGTCAGGCTGGTCTCCAACTCTCAACCTCAGGTGATCCACCTGCCTTGGCCTCCCAAAGTGCTGAGATTACAGGCGTGAACCACCACGCCCAGCCAGTAATGGCGTTTTTTTTAAAACAACATTCCATATCTCAGCCTTAATTTAAAAAACATGTGCAATTAGTATCTATTAAAATTAAGATGTTCATACTTTTTGGCCCAGCAAACCCATTCTAGTGATCTCTCCCACAGAAATAGGGGCAAATGCATTATTGTTTTTCTGTTTTTGTTTTTGTTTTTGTTTTTTGTTTTTGTTTAGAGACAGGGTCTCACTCTGACACCCAGGCTGGAGTGTAGTGGTGCAATCATGGCTCACTACAGCCTCCAACTCCTAGGCTCAAGCAATCCTCCTGCCTCAGCCTTCCAAATATGGGGTCTACAGGCAGGCACCACCACCCTGGATAATGTTTTGTAGAGACAGGGGCTTGCTGTGTTGCCCAGGCTGGTCTTGAGCTCTGGCCTCAAGTAATTCTCCAGCCTCGGACTCACAAAGTGCTGAGATTACAGGCGTATGCCACTGTGTCAAGCCAGCAGTTTTTTTTTTTTTTTTAACTTTCATTTTAGGTTAAGGGGTAATGTGCAGGTTTGTTATATAGGTAAACTGCATGTCTTGGGGGTTTGGCATACAAATTATTTTGTCACCCAGGTAATAAGCATAGTTCCCAATAGTTAGTTTTTTAATCTTCTCCTTCTCCCACCCTCCACGCTCAAGTAATCTCTGGTGTCTGTTGTTCCCCTCTTTGTGTCATGTGTTCTCATTGTTTAACTCTCACTTATAAATGAGAGTGCGGGTGTGGTGGCTCACGCCTGTAATCCCAGCACTTTGGGAGGCCAAAGCGGGCAGATCACCTGAGGTCAAGAGTTCGAAACCAGCCTGACCAACATGGTGAAACCCCGTCTCTACTAAAAATACAAAATTAGCTGGGTGTGGTGGCACACACCTGTAATCACAGCTACCCGGGAGGCTGAAGCAGGAGAATTGCTTGAACCTGGGAGGCAGAGGTTGCAGTGAGCCAAGATCACACCATTGCATTCCAGCCTGGGCGACAAGAGCAAAACTCTGTCTCAAAAAAAGAAAAAAAAAAGGCATGGCGCAGTGGCTCACGCCTGTAATCCCAGCACTTTGGGAGGCCAAGGCAGGCAGATTGCCTGAGGTCAGGAGTTTGAGACCAACCTGGCCAACATGGTGAAACCCCATCTCTACTAAAAATAAAAAAAATTAGCCAGGCATGGTGGCACACAACTGTAGTCCCAGCTACTCGGGAGGCTGAGGCAAGAGAATCACTTGAGCCTGGGAGGCAGAGGTTGCAGTGAGCCGAGATCGCACCACTGCACTCCAGCCTGGGTGACAGAGCGAGACTCTGTCTCAAAAAATAAAAAACAGAACATGTGGTATTTTTTTCTTTGTTCCTATGTTAGTTTGCTTATGAGAATGACTTCAGCTCCATCCATGTTGCTGCAAAGGACATGGTCTCATTCTTTTTTATGGCTGCATAGTATTCCATGGTACATACATGCCACATTTTCTTTAGCCAGTCTACCATTGATGGGCATTTAGGTTGATACTATGTTTTTGGTATTGTGAACAGTGCTGCAATAAACATATGCATGCATATGTCTTTATGGTAGAATGACTTATATTCCTTTGGGTATATTCTCAATAATGGGATGGCTATGTCAAATGATAATTCTGTTTTAAGCCCTTTGTGGAATCACCACACTGCTTTCCACAATTGCTGAACTAATTACATTTTCACCAGAAGTGTATAAACATTACCTTTTCTCCACAACCTTACCAGCATCTGCTATTTTTGACTTTTTAATAATAGCCATTCTGACTGGCACAAGATGGTATCCCACTGTGGTTGCGATCTACATTTCTCTAAAGATTAGTGATGATGAGCATTTTTTCATATATTTGTTGGCCACATGTATGTCTTCTTTTGAGAAGTGCCTGTTCATGTCTGTATTAGTCTGTTTTCACACTGCTATAAAGATACTACCTGAGACTGGATAATTTATAAAGGAAAGAGGTTTAATTGACTCACACTTATTCTTTTCCTTCTTCTTTTTTTTTTTTTTTGAGACAGTCTCACTCTTTTGCCCAGGCTGCAGTGCAGTGGCACAATCTCGGCTCACTGCAACATCTGCCTGCCAGGTTCAAGCAATTCTCCCACCTCAGCCTCCCGAGTAGCTTGGACTACAGCCGCATGCAACCACACCCAGCTAATTTTTGTATTTTTAGTAGAGACAGGGTTTCACCATGTTGGCCCAGATGGTCTTGAACCCCTGACGTCAGGTGATCCACCCACCTCGGCCTCCCAAAGTGCTGGGGTTACAGGCTTGAGCCACTGTGCCGGAACTGACTCACAGTTCTGCATGGCTAGAGAAGCCTCAGGAAACGTACAATCATAGTGGAAGGTGAAGGGGAAGCAAGGCATGTCTCCTCATGGTGGCAGGAGAGAGAGAGAGGAAGAGTGAGGAAGTGCTACACTTAAAACAATCAGCTCTAGTGAGAAGTCCCTCACTATCATGAGAGCAGCTTGGGAGAAACCGTCCTCATGATCCATTCACCTTTCACTGGGTCTCTCCCTGGACACGTGGGGATTACAATTCGAGATGAGATTTGGGTGGAGACACAAAGCCAAACAATATCATTGTCCTTTGCCCACTTTTTAATGGTGCTGTTTTTTGCTTGTACATTCATTTAAGTTCCTTATAGATTCTGGATATTAGACCTTTGTTGGATACATAGTTTGCAAATATTTTCTCCCATTTTGTAGGTTGTCTGTTTACTCTGTTGAGAGTTTCTTTTGCTGTGCAGAAGCTCTTTGGATAATTAGGTCCCATTTGTCAATTTTTGTTTTTGTTGCAATTGCTTTTGGCATCTTTGTCATGAAATCTTTGCCAGGGCCTATGCCATTTAGTATTTTCTAGGTTATCTTTCAGGGTTTTTATAGTTTTAGGTTTTACATTTAAGTCTTTAATTTATCTGGAGTTTATTTTTTTATTTTTTATTTTTATTTTTTTGAGACGGAGTCTCGCTCCGTCGCCCAGGCTGGAGTGCAGTGGTGCAATCTTGGCTCACTGCAACCTCCGCCTCCCGGGTTCAAGCGATTCTCCTGCCTCAGCCTCCTGAGTAGCTGGGATTACAGGCATGCACCAGCATGCCCGGCTGATTTTTGTATTTTTAGTAGAGACGGGGTTTCACCATGTTGGTCAGGCTGGCCTCAGACTCCTGACATTGTGATCTGCCTGCCTTGGTCTCCCACAGTGCTGGGATTACATTGAGTTGATTTTTGTGTATGGTGTAAGGAAGAGGAACATACTTCAAAATAATAAGAGCCATATGTGACAGCCCCACAGCCAACATAATACTGAATGGGCAGAAGCTGGAAGCATTCGCCCTTGAAAACTGGCACAAGACAAGGATGCCTTCTTTCATCGCTCCTATTCAACATAGTATTGGAAGTCCTGGGCAGGGCAATCAGGCAAGAGAAAGAAATAAATGACATCCAAATAGGAAGAGAGGAAGTCAAACTGTCCCTGTTTGTGGATGATATGATTCTACATCTAGGAAACCCCATAGTCTCTGCCCAAAAGCTCCTTGATCTGATAACTTCAGCAGAGTTTCAGGATACAAAATCAATGTACAAAAATCGGTAGTATTCCTATATGCCAACAACATCCAATTGAGAGCCAAATCAGGAACACAGTCTCATTCACAATAGCCACAAAAGAATGAAATACCTAGGAATACAGCAACCAGGGAGGTGAAAGAACTCTACAAAGAGAACTACAAAACACTGCTCAAAGACATCAGAGATGACACAAACAAATGGAAAAACATTCCATGCTCATAGATAGGAAGAGTCAATATGTTAAAATGGCCATACTGCCCAAAGAAATTTACAGATTCAATGTCATTCCTATCAAACTACCAGTGACATTCTTCAGATAATTAGAAAAAACAATTTAAAAATGCATATGGAACCAAAAGAGAGCCTGAATAGCCAAGGCAATTCTAAGCAAAAGAACAAAGCTGCAGGCACCAAGTTACCTGACTTCAAACGATACTACAGGCCTACAGTGACCAAAACAGCATGGTACTGGTACAAAAACAGGCACATAGACAAATGAAATAGAATAGAGAGCTCAGAAATAATGCTTCACACCTACAGCCATCTGATTTTTGACAAAGTTAAAAAAAAAAAGCAATGGGGAAAGGACTCCCTATTCAATAAATGGTGCTGGGATAACTGGCTAGCCGTATGCAGAAAATTGAAACTGGATATTCTTGTTTATAATAGCAAAAGTGGGAAATAGCCATTAATAAGGGAATGTTTGAGTTCATTATGGTACATCCATATAATGGAATATTAAGCATAAAATAGAGAGCTTATTTCACTAACCTATACTAAACACTTCCTTAAACACAGTAAGCTACACCTTGTGTGGGAGAGTTGCTTTGAATTTGGTTGCATTCATGTACACAGCAGGCAAGGCAAGAATGCATTAAAAACTGACGACACTGCATTTTGGGTAAGGCTCTTCTATCAAATGCATGCATTATTCAGCATGAGAGGTCATTAATTTCTAGTAATTAGTGATTCACTTGCACGTGAGCACTCAAATCTGCCCAAAGGCCTTTGGGAAATTAAGACAGCTTTCCACAAGAGTTCGCTGGAATAAAAAATATTGAAGGACATCTACAGTGAATTTTCCGCATAACATCTTTTTGAAGGGTTAAAAATGTTTTCTGTGATTACCTTAATAAAGTGCCTATAATATATGTATCTCTTCTGCCCAGAGTTTCTCAACTGTTCATGTTCAATAAACAAACTCTCTTGTCTGAACAAATGTATTGTTTCCATTTGTGTATGGTGTAATCTTTAAATGAATCTCATTTGTGTGTTCAGGCATATTCATGCTTGTAATTTCATTTCAAAAATTTTTTTTATTTGATGGCCATCTGAGGGTTTTTTTTTTTTCTTGAGTCAGAGTCTCACTCTGTTGCCCAGTCTGGAGTGCAGTGGCGCCATCTCAGCTCACTGCAACCTCCACCTCCTGGATTCAAGCGATTCTTGAACCTCAGCCTCCCAAGTAGCTGGGATTACAGGTGCACACTACCACGCCTGGCTAATTTTTTTGTATTTTGAGTAGAGACAGGGTTTCACCATATTGGCCAGGCTGGTCTCAAACTCCTGACCTCAAGTGATCCACCCTCCTCGGCCTCCCAAAGTGCTAGGATTACAAGCGTGAGCCACAGCGCCCAACCAGAGCTTTCTTTTTTTTAAATTAACAAACCCATTCACCCTCCAGCAAACATATATTAAGTGTTTGCAATACATCCGGCATTGTGTTAATCATTATTTAAACTTTTTTATTATGGGTAATTTCAAACATATACAAAAGTAGAAAAAAAACTATAATGAAATCACTTTTTATGTAGATTTAACATCATCAACTCAAAGCCAGTCTAGTTATACCTGTACCCGTATTTCATTCCTTTCTAGATTATTCAAAAGTGTCTCCTGGACATTATATAATTTTATATAATTTCGCCGGGCGCGGTGGCTCACGCCTGTAATCCCAGCACTTTGGGAGGCCGAGGCGGGCGGATCACGAGGTCAGGGGATCGAGACCATCCTGGCTAACACAGTGAAACCCCATCTCTACTAAAAATACAAAAAATTATCCGGGCATGGTGGCGGGCGCCTGTAGTCCCAGCTACTCGGGAGGCTGAGGCAGGAGAATGGCATGAACCCCGGGGGGCGGAGCCTGCAGTGAGCCGAGATCGCGCCACTGCACTCTAGCCTGGGCGACAGCGAGATTCGGTCTCAAAAAAAAAAATTTATATAATTTCATCCACAAACATTTCTGTATATCTCTATAAGACATAAGGAGTTCTTAAGAAAAACCCACAATACCACTAGAACAACTAAAAAATTCCTTAATATGATCAAACATCCAGTCTGTGTTCAAATTACCAATATCACAAATGTGATTTTTTAATAGTCTGAATCAGAATCCAAATAGTCTTCACATTGTGATTGTTTATGTGTCTCTTAGTTCTCTGTTGTCTATAGGTTTCTTCTCTCTCTTTCTCCCCTTGATATTTATTTATTGAAGAAATCTGGTTGTTTGTCTTTTTTGTTTGTTTTAGAGACAGGGTTTCACTCTGTCACCCAGTCGGGAGTGCAGTGGTGCAATCATAGCTCACTGCAGCTTCAAACTCCTGGGCTCAAGTGATTCTCCTGCCTCAGCATCCCAAGTAACTGGGACTACAGGCTCATGCCACTGCACCCAGATGTTTTTTTTTTAATTTTTTGTAAAAATGCACTTTGTTGCCCAGAGTGGTTCTTGAACTCCTGGCTTGAAGTGATCTTCCTGCCTTGGCATCCCAAAGTGCTGGGATTACAGTCATGAGCCACTGCACCCAGCCTTATTTTCTTGTACCTTTACCTAGTCTGGTGCTGATTGCCTCATCCTGGTTCCTTTAATATATTTCTCTGTCTTTTGTGTTCCTCATAAACAGGTAGTTGGATCTTAAGTAGGGCTGGGCTGGGTGTGATGGTGGCTCACGCCTGGAATCCCAACACTTTGGGAGCCTGAGGTGGGAGGGTTGCCTGAGCCCAGGAGGTGGAGGCTGCAGTGAGCTAACTTCAGCCTATGATCGCGTCACTGCACTCCATTGTGGCGACAGAGTGAGACCCCATTTCAAAAAAACAAAAATAAAATAAAAAGTAAAGTAGGGTTGCCAGATTCAGAAAGATAAATGCAGGACTCCCAGTTAAATTTAATTTCAGATAAACAATGAATGGTTTTGTAGTATAAGCATGTCCCAAATATAATGTATGGGACATACTAAATATTGCATGGGACGTGCTTACATGAATATATATATATATTTATATAAATATATATTTATATAAATTTCACATATATAGTTCACATATAAACATATAATTTATATATATAATATATACAAATAAATAAACTATATATATATGTATATATATAGTTGTGTTTTTTTTTTAGGTGGAGTCTCGCTCTGTCGCCCAGGCTGGAGTGCAGTGGCGCCATCTCTGCTCACTGCAAGCTCCGCCTCCCGGGTTCATGCCATTCTCCTGCCTCAGCCTCCCGAGTAGCTGGGACTACAGGTGCCCACCACGATGCCCGGCTAATTTTTTGTATTTTTAGTAGAGACGGGGTTTCACCATGCTAGCCAGGGTGGTCTCAATCTCCTGACTTCGTGATCTGCCCGCCTCGGCCTCCCAAAGTGCTGGGATTACAGGCGTGAGCCACTGCGCCCGGCCTATATATAGTTGTTTATTTGAAATTCACTTTTCACTGGGCATCCTGAATTTTACCTGGCAACACTAAGCTTAATCTCAAGGCTATGCTAGATTCAAGATCAATATTTTTTTGAGACAGGGTCTCACTTTGCTGCCCATGCTGGAGTACAGTGGCACAATCATGGCTCACTGAAGCCTCAAATTCCTGGGCTCAAGCAATCCTCCCGCCTCAGCCTCCCAAGTGGCTGTAACTACAAGTATGTGCCAACACACCCGCCTATTTTTTTACTTTTATTTTTTGTAGAGACGAAGTCTCCCTGGTCTCACTATACTGCCCAGACTGGTCTCGAACTCCTGGGCTCAAGGGATCCTCCTGCCTCAGCATTCCAAAGTGCTGGGATTACAGGCGTGAGCCACCGAGCTTGGCCCAGGTTTTTTTTTTTTTTTTGAGATGGAGTCTTGCTCTGTCTCCCAGGCTGGAGTGCAGTGGCATGATCTTGGCTCACTGCGACCTCTGCCTCCCAGGTTCAAGTGATGATTCTCCTGCCTCAGTCTCCTGAGTAGCTGGGATTACAGGTGCCCGCCATCATGCTGGGCTAATTTTTTGTATTTTTAGTAGAGATGGGGTTTCACCATGTTGGCCAGGCTGGTCTTGAACTCCTGACCTCAAGTGATCCACCGGCCTAGGACTCCCAAAGTGCTGGGATTACTGGCGTGAGCCACCGCGCATGGTCTTTTTTTTTTTTTTTTTAAGGCAAAACTGTTTCATAGGGGGTGGTGCTTGTTTCACTCAGGAGACACATAATGTCTGGTTGTCTCTCTTTGTGATGATAGCTGTCTTTGATGCTCAATATCTAGATTGGTAATTCACTAGAGTTGCAATATGGTGATCTAATTTTCCAAGGCATATTTTAAAGAGGAAACTTAGTGTTGTGATTAAGAGATCCTGCTCTGAGATGGGAAAGACTTGGTTTTGAGATTTGGTCCTACCACTTCCTAGCTGTGTGACCTGGGACAAATCAGTTCGCTTCTCTCAACCGCAGCTTCCTCATCTGTAAAACAAGATTAATAATAGTACCTATTATTACTCATAAAGTTTTCGTGAGGATTAAATAAGGTAGGGTATGTAGGGGGTTTAAAACAGTGCCTAGCACATGGTAGATGCTCAATAAAAGCCAACTATTGTATCTCATGAGATTCTTGAAGAATTACGGCCTCTCAAATTCAGAATTTTCCAATATTCAAATCCTCCATTCAACAGTTAAATTACATTTTCACATTGTTTATAAAAATAATAATAAAGATTAACGAATGAACAGTCTCTCATATTTGTCCAGTGCTTTATAGCCAACAAGGGCCTTCTTCACATGCATTCTTACTTGATCCTCATAGCTGCATTTTAACCAGAAAGACTGGTTTTATTCATTTTTTACATCTGAAGAATCTTGGCCTTAGGGAGGCAATTTGCTACACACAACACATCCAGAAAGTCACACAATAGAGCAGGGAGTAAGTCCTAGCCCAAGGCTCTTTAGATGGAAAACAGGTCTTCCCTCCTGCAAAGATTTCATTTCTTGGTTTCAGTTACAACACCAATGTCTTGTTTTCTTTTTCGACTTTTCTTCTTTTCTTTTCTTCCTCAATCATTTACTTGTTTGTTTATAGTTTTTTTTTTTGGTAGAGACACTATGTTGTCCAGGCTGGTCTCAAACTCCTGGCCTCAAGCCATCCTCCCACCATGGCCTCCCAAAGTGCTGGAATTAACCGGCGTGAGCCACTGCACCCAATCCAACCTTTCAACTTCTCATTTCTTTCAAATTATTCCCTCCTTATCCCCATTCTTGGTGTCTCTTTCTCTTCTTCCCAAATACAGTCATTCTAAATTTCTTTCCTTGGGTCATTTTAATTGCTATATTCTCCCCCTATGATATCTACTCAATAGCTTCATCTAGTCAAATAGCTTCAACTACTCCCTCTGGGAGGATGATTTCCAAATCCATATTTCTGGCCTCTATGTCTTCCTTGAGTTTTGGACCTGAAATTTCAATTGCCTGCTTGATATCTCCATATGACTGCTTCAGATAGAATCCAACGTTCAGTGAATCTGCTTATTTGGATCCTGATTTCAAACAATCAACTGTAAACAAACAAGTAAATGATTGAGAACATTTAAATGCTTAATGGATATTTGATTACGTTACAGGCTTAATGTTGATTTTTTAGGTGGCCAAGCATGGTGGCTCATGCCTGTAATCTCAGCATTTTGAGAGGCCATGGCAGGAGGATTGCCTGAGCCTAGGAGTTTGAGGCCAGCCTGGGCAACATGGCAAGACTCTGTCTCTGCAGAAAATTTAAAAAATTAGCATGCACCTGAGGTCCCAGCTACTCAATAGGCTGAAGCGAGAGGATCACTTGAGCTTAGGAGGTCGGGGCTGCAGTGAGCTGTGTTTTTGCCACTGCACTCCAGTCTGGGCATCAAAGTAACACTGTGTCTCAAAAAAAATGTTTTTAGTTGAGATAATTGTATGTAATTGTAATTAGAAATATATAGTGAATTGTTTGTGGATTATATCATATGATGTCTGGGATTTACTTCAAAATAATTCAATTCAGAAAACAGTATGGAAGTCCTTCAAGAAATTAAAAATAGAGTTACTACAGGATCTAGCAATCCCACTACTGGGTATTTATCCAAGAAAAATCAAATTAGTATGTTGAGGAGATATTTGAACATCCATGTCCATTTCAGTACTATTCACAATAGCCAAGATATGGAACCAATCTAAGTGTCCAACAGTGAATGAATGGGTCAAGTGTAGTATGTATACACAATGGAATACTATTCAGCCACCAAAAAGAAGGCAATTCTGTTATTTGTGACAGTATGGATGAATCTGGAGGACATTATATTAAGTGAAATAATCCAGGCACAGGAAGACAAATGGATCCCTTAGAAGTAGAGTAGAATAGTGGTTGCCAGGGCTGGGGGTATTAACAGGGAGAAGGGTTGGGGGGTGGTCGGTCAAAGGATACATATTTACAGTTAGATAGGAGGAATATGTTCACGAGATCTATGATACAGCAAGGTTACTATAGTTAATAAGGATATATTGTATCCTTGAAAAACGTAAAGAGAGTTGAAGTTATGTGCTTTCACTGCAAGAAAAAATGATTAACCGTGAGATACTGTAGTTGTTAATTAGCTGGATTTAACCATTCTACAATGTATATATACTTCAAAAACATCATGTTGTACATGATAAATATAAACAATTTTACATGTCAATTTAAAAAATAAATAAATTTGAGGCCAGACGCTGTGGCTCACGCCTGTAATCTCAGCACTTTGGGAGACTGAGGCCGGTGGATCACGAGGTCAGGAGTTCCAGACCAGCCTGGCCAACATGGTGGAACCCTGTCTCTACTAAAAATACAAAAAATTAGCCAGGTGTGGCTGGGCACGGTGGCTCACGCCTGTAATCCCAGCACTTTGGGAGGCCGAGGCGGGCGAATCACGAGGTCAGGAGATCAAGACCATCCTGGCTAACACGGTGAAACCCTGTCTCTACTAAAAATACAAAAAATTAGCCGGGCGTGGCAGTGTGCGTCTGTGGTCCCAGCTACTCGGGAGGCTGAGGCAGGAGAATGGCATGAACCTGGTAGGTGGAGCTTATAGTGAGCCGAGATCGCGCCACTGCACTCCAGCCTGGGCAACAGAGCGAGATTCATCTCAAAAAAAAAAAATTAGCCAGGTGTTGTGGCGTGCACCTGTAATCCCAGCAACTCGGGAGGCTGAGGCAGGAGAATCGCTTGAACCCGGAAGGCGGAGGTTGCAGTGAGCTGAGATCGCACCACTGCACTCCAGCCTGGGTGAAAGAGCAAGACTCCATCTCATAAAACAAAACAAAACAAAACAAAACAAAACAAAAAAAACCATACATTTGAAAAAATAAAAAAAAGTTCCAAGTTTAATTCAGGAAGGGGAGGAATAGGTAAGATTGATAAAACAAAATTGACCTTGAGGTGACAATTGTTGAGCTAGGTAATGGGTATATAGGGCTTCAATATCCTATTCTCTCTATTTTTCTCTCTGTTTGAAAACTTGCATAATAAAGATTTAAAAATATTAAATAGATCCAAAATCAAATTGATCAACCTCACCTACATCCATCTCCTGACAATTGTTTTCTCATTAATGTCCTCTTATCTTTCCAGTTACTTATTGTGAACATGCAAAGTTCTCTTGGTTTTCTCCTTCTCCCTAACTTCTACATCCAGTCAGTTGCTGTCAGGTCAATGCTCCCTTCACAGCGAATCTTGCATCCATTTTTTTTCTTTTCAAACTGCCACCACTTTATTAAGTCCTTCATCACTTCTTGCCTTAAATAGTGTAATAGCATACATACATTCCTCCCCATTTCCAGTCCCTCCTTACTTTATGCATATCAAACATCTAGCATAGTGCTTGGTACTTAGTTTTTTTTTTTGGAGTGCTGTGGTGCCATCTCGGGTCACTACAACCTCCACCTCCTGGGCTCAAGTGATTCTCGTGCCTCAGCCTCCCAAGTAGCTGGGACTACAGGCATGCGCCACCACGCCTGGCTAATTTTTTGTATTTTAGTAGAGATGGGGTTTCACCATGTTGCCCAGGTTGGTCTCGAACTCCTGAGCTCGGGCAATCTGCCCATCTCTGCCTCCCAAAGTGCTGGGATTACAGGCATGAGCCACCGCGCCTGGCCAATACTTAGTTCTTTCTCCCTTTCTCCTCAACCATGAATTTATCTTTCTCACTAGTGCCTGCTTAACCCTCTGATTGCACCTTCTGTCTTCCCTGAGAGACATGCATAGACACTAGGTATGCTTTCATTTTTCATTTTTATTTATTTATTTATTTATTTATTTATTTATTTATTTATTTATTGAGACACAGTCTCACTCTGTCACCCAGGCTGGAGTGCAATGGCACAATCTCAGCTCACTGCAACCTCCGCCTCCTGGGTTCAAGAAATTCTCCTGCTTCAGCCTCCCGAGTAGCTGGGATTACAGGCGTGAGCCACCACTCCTGGCTAATTTTTGTATTTTTAGTAGAGACAGGGTTTCACTACCTTGGCCAGGCTGGTCTCGAACTTCTGGGCTCAGTTGATCCATTCACATCAGCCTTCTCTGAGAGAGACTGCCCTTCACTTCCTTTCAGCATTGCTTTTCTCTCTGTCCTTGCTTGATCCTCAGTAGGCTTCACTGCTGCCTTCATTCCACCCTAACTGCCATGCTTTGTGGAGGAAACGTGTGTATTTGAATAAAGACTGACTTCTCAGTTCCAAAGTTAGATGTGAGAGCAGTATTTTTCCTAGCTCTGGATGAACGGGCCTTTACATTTTGAGAAAATAGTCATACTGAATGTGAGTAAAAGAGAAGCAAGTTTTAAATCTCCTTCTTGTCCCCCCACTCGGTTGGGAAGAAAAGGGAAGATCTTTAGTTCAGAGGGATCAGCTTCTAGATCCAGGCAGGATAGGGTAAATGCTAATGTTGAAGAAGGAAATGAGCGGATGTTATTCCAGTAAGCTGGGGGCTTCTTGAGGAAATATTTCTTGCCTAGCGATGAACAGCAAGAGCTGCCACCAGTGGGTCTCATAGAATCAACATCAGCAGTGTAGATTGGGTGAAGGTGCTGTGGCCCAGGGATGTCTCAGGGAAATGACTATAGAACCCTTGTTTTTTGAGGTCTGTCTGGTGTAGTTCTGTTTGTTATGGACAGCAGCCAAGCCATCAGGGGTTGGGCTGACCATGCACAAAGAACCGTCCTATCCTTCAAAAAGAAAATGCCATAAGTCAATCACATTCTACCATTTTAAGCATAACACTTGTAACTAAATCAAACTGCTGTATTATAACCAAAATGCATCCTCCCGTTTTATATTTAAGGCCCACAGGCTTCAACTAATTTAGGGGACCATCTGGTAAGAGAGACAGAAAGTCTCATTACAAAGTGGCATTTGTTTTCAGGCTCAGACCTCAAAAGGGATTGTCCTGAAGACCCCAACCAATTCCCTGTGTGAGGGTCTAGCGCTCCTGACCTTACCACTTAGGTAGAAAGAACATGACTTTGGAGTCAGATAAGATTCAATTCTCTCCTTCAACTCTCCCAAGCTGGGTGCTTTGAGCCACAGGACTCCTGAGGTTTGAGTTTTCTCAGTTTCCTCATATGTAATATGGGAATTAGATTATACCTGAAGTTGTTTGGAAGATTAGAGGAGACATAGGCTCCCAGAGGGACCCTAGAGCTATTGGTCCCCTTCCCAATATCTATAACTTAATCCTCCTTCATTGTATTCACTCTGAGTCTTGCTATTCTGGCCTTGTTTGCCTAACATCCACTTTTACATACATAGACACTAGGCATGCTTTTATTTTTCTTTTATTTATTTATTTATTTTTTGAGATGCAGTCTCACTCTGTCACCCAGGCTGGAGTGCAATGGCACGATCTCAGCTCACTGCAACCTCCACCTCCTGGGTTCAAGCGATTCTCCTGCCTCAGTCTCCCGAGTAGCTGGGATTACAGGCGTGAGCCACCACACCTGGCTAATTTTTGTATTTTTAGTAGAGATGAGGTTTCGCTATGTTGGCCAGGCTGGCCTCGAACTCCTGAGCTCAGGTGATCCACCTGTCTCAGCCTCCCAAAGTGCTAGGATTACAGGCGTGAGCCACCACGTCAGGCCTAGGCATGCTTTTAAACAGATCTTTGAACTAAAGGGCTAAAAATAAGTTTTGTACTAATCCTGTTATTTGTTCACTTTTCTAGGAAGTAAAGAATTGAAATTGGGATTACCCTGATATAAACTTGTCAGAAGGCAATTTTGCCTCTTATGTAGTGTGCTGAGCAAATCTATTCTCAAAGTCCTCCTCTCCTATATTTACATAGTTGAAAGGGTTAGATTAGTTGGTTGGGACAAATCTTGGTTGCAGCTCAGGGGTGGGGAGGAGAGGGAGTGAAGAGTAGGTTGGTTAGAGATGGAAAATATGGGAATAGGGATGTTTTTAGACTCTATCTAGATAACTGTTATGTAGGTTACAGCTTTATTTCAAGTGAGAATGTGAATATGGCCATCTTCCTAGTTAGAGCCTAATGCTCAAAATTTCCTTGAAACCAAGAAACAAAATAAAAAAATGATGATTAATATTGGCAGAATGTAATTGCTGAAGCTGAGTCATGGATATGTGGAACTTCATTGTGTGATTCTCTATACTTTTGTGTGTGTGTTTGAAAATATCCATAATTAAAAGATTTTTATGTGACAATAGAGGTCAAGAACTGAGGAGTTTGACTGTCATGTCAGAAAAGCTAGTAGAGCATATCTGAACCAGTATAATTTGTTAAAGGAAATTATGGTGATTTCTGTAATGCTTATTTAGTTAACTGGATTTACTTGAAAGATTATATAGCATATGGCAAACAGATAAAACATTCAGTGGATATAATATAAATTGATCTCAAAAAAGTTTTTTTTTTTTTTTGGCCTGGTGCTGTGGCTCATGCCTGTAATCCCAGCAACTTGGGAGGTTGTGGGCAGATCACTTGAGGCCAGGAGTTCAAGAGCAGCCTGGCCAACATGGTGAAACCCCATCTCTACTAAAAATACAAAAAAAATCAGCCACGCATGGTGCCGTGCACCTGTAGTCCCAGCTACTTGGGTGGCTGAGGCAGGAGAATTGCTTGAACCCGGGAGGCAGAGGTTGCAGTGAGCTGAGATCATGCCACTGCACTCCAGCCTGGGCAACAGAGGGAGACTCTGCCTCAAAAAAAAAAGTGTGTTTTTGTTTTTGTTTTAATTCAGACGGGATTTGCAGGTCACCAAAAGGCTTCTGACAGGATGTCACAACCACTGGTTCTGTTTTTTTTTTTTTTTACGAGACAGTGTCTTGCTCTGTCACCCAGGCTGGAATGCAGTGGCATGATCATGGCTAACTGCTGCTTCAACCTCTTGGACCCAAAGGATTCTCCTGCCTCAACATCCTGAGTAGTTGGAACTACAGGCATCAAGCACAAGCCACCATACCTAGTAAATATGTTTTATTTTATTTTTGTAGAATGGGGTCTCACTATGTTGCCCAGGCTGATTTCAAACCCCGGCGATCCCTCCCACCTTGGCTTCCCAAAGTGTTGGGATTACAGGCATGAGCCACCACTCCCAGCTGTGCATAACATCTGTTTTTAAGGGAATTAAGTCACCATAGGATTGTAACCCACTTTCCTCTGAGTAGATATTGCCTGAGAAGTAGGAAACAAAGATAAAGATAAAGGAGGTTAAAGGATTGTTTTGACATTTCAAAAGCATGATTCCTTAGGGATAGGATTGGGTGGAGCAACATTTTTTAATAAATGTATTTCTATAAAAGAGCTGAAGGAATGCACAGTGAAATCTCTGAGTTGATTACATTAAACTCTTCTTGAGCCATGAATTACTTTTATTTTTTATAAACCAGGAAGAAGCCAAATACCTGAATAGGCCAATAACAAGTTCTGATATTGAGGCAGTAATTAATAGCCTACCAACCAAAAAAAAGTCCAGGACCAGACAGATTCACAGCTGAATTCTACAAGAGGTACAAAGAGGAGATGATACCATTCCTTCTAAAACTATTCTAAACAATAGAAAAAGAAGAACTCCTCCCTAACTCATTTTATAAGGCCAGCATCATCCTGATACCAAAACCTGGCAGAGACACAACAAAAAAAAAAAAAAAAAGAAAATTTCAGGCCAATATCCCTGATAAGATCGATGCAAAAACCCTCAATAAGATACTGGCAAACCGAATCCAGCAGCACATTAACAAGCTTTTCCACCAAGATCAAATCAGCTTCATCTCTGGGATGCAAGGCTGGTTCAACATACAGAAATCAATAAATGTAATCAATCACATAAACAGAACCAATGACAAAAACCACATGATTATCTCAAAAGATGCAGAAATGGCCTTTGACAAAATTTAACACCCCGTCATGCTGAAAACACTCAATAAACTAGGTATCGATGGAACGTATCTCAAAATAATAAGAGCTATTTATGACAAACCCACAGCCAGTATCATACAGAGTGGGCAAAAGCTGGAAGCATTCCCTTTGAAAACCGGCACAAGACAAGGATGCCCTCTCTCACCACTCCTATTCAACATAGTATCGGAAGTCCTGGGCAGGGCAATCAGGCAAGAGAAAGAAATAAAGGGTATTCAAACAGGAAGAGAGGAAGTCAAATTGTCTCTGTTTGCAGATGACATGATTGTATAATTAGAAAACCCCATTATCTCAGCCCCAAATCTCCTTAAGCTGATAAGCAACTTCAGCAAAGTCTCAGGATATAAAATCAATGTGCAAAAATCACAAGCATTCCTATACACCAATAAACAGACAAACAGAGAACCAAATCATGAGTAAACTCCCATTCACAATTGCTACAGAGAGAATAAAATACCTAGGAATACAACTTACAAGGGATGTGAAGGACCTTTTCAAGGAGAACAACAGACCACTGCTCAAGGAAATAACAGAGGGCAGAAACAAATGGAAAAACATTCCACGCTCATGGATAATAAGAATCAATATCATGAAAATGGCCATACTGCCCAAAGTAATTTATAGATTCAATGCTATTCCCATCAAGCTACCATTGACTTTCTTCACAGCATTAGAAAAAACTACTTTAAATTTCATATGGAACCAAAAAATAGCCCACATAGCCAAGACAAGCCTAAACAAAAAGAACAAAGCTGGAGGCATCACACTACCTGACTTCAAACTATACTACAAGGCTACAGTAACCAAAACAGCATGGTACTGGTACCAAAACAGATATATAGACCAATGGAACAGAACAGAAGCCTCAGCAATAACACCACACATCCATAACCATCTGATCTTTGACAAACTTGACAAAAACAAGCTATGGGGAAAGTTTCCCTATTTAATAAACGGTGATGGGAAAACTGGTTAGCCATACCATATGCAGAAAACTGAAACTGGGCCCCTTCTTTACACATTATTCAAAAATTAACTCAAGATGGATTAAAGATTTAAATGAAAGACCTAAAACCATGAAAAACCCTAGAAGAAAACCTAGGCAATACCATTCAGGACATAGGCATGGGCAAAGACTTCACAACTAAAACACCAAAAGCAATGGCAACAAAAGCCAAAATTGACAAATGGGATCTAATTACTAAAGAGCTTCTGCACAGCAAAAGAAACTACCATCAGAGTGAACAGGCAGCCTACAGAATGGGAGAAAATTTTTGCAATCTATCCATCTGACAAAGGGCTAATATGCAGGATCTACAAGGAACTTAAACAAATTTACAAGAAAAAAACAAACAACCCCATCAAAAAGTGGGTGAAGGATATGAACAGACACTTTTCAAAAGAAGACATTTATGTGGCAAACAAACATATGAAAAAAAGCTCATCATCACTGGTCATTAGAGAAATGCAAATCAAAATCACAGTGAGATACCATCTCACTCCAGTTAGAATGACAATCATTTAAAAGTCAGGAAACAACAGATGCTGGAGAGGATGTGGAGAAATAGGAACACTTTTACACTGTTGGTGGGAGTGTAAATTAGTTCAACCATTGTGGAAGACAGTGTGGCGATTCCTCAAGGATCTAGAACTAGAAATACCATTTGACCCAATAATCCCATTACTAGGCATATACCCAAAGGATTATAAATCATTCTACTATAAAGACACATGCATACCTATGTTTATTGCAGTGCTATTCACAATAGCAAAGGCTTGGAACCAACCCAAATGGCCATCAATGATAGACTGGATAAAGAAAATGTGGCACACATACACCAGGAAATACTATGCAGCCATAAAAAAGGATGAGTTCATGTCCTTTGCAGGGCATGGATGAAGCTGGAAACCTTCATTCTCAGCAAACTATCATGGGAACAGAAAACCAAATACCTCATATTCTCACTCTTAAGTGGGAGTTGAACAATGAAAACATATGGTGCAGGGAGGGAAACATCACACACCAGGGCCTGTCGGTGGGTAGGGGGCAAGGGGAGAGATAGCATTAGGAGAAATACCTAATGTAGATGATGGGTTGATGGGTGCAGCAAACCACCATGGCACATGTATACCTACATAACAAACCTGCACGTTCTGCACATTTATCCCAGAACTTAAAGTATAATTAAAAAAAAAACGCAAATAAAATTGTCAGTAATAAACATCAGTATCAGCAGATTTGTAAATTATATGTATCTCAAATTCTTTTTTTATACATGTACTTCATTTTTTATTTAAAAATATTTGTCAAATAAAGATTGAGTATATTTTGAAACACAAAAAAAGAAGAAATTACTTAGGCAGATAGTGAGGGAACGGAAGTCCTCTGTAAGGTTTTACTTTTAATAAAAAGCAGCCCTAAATTATTTTCCTTTTTAACAAAAAGCAGCCTGTAAAATCAAGCTGCAGACATAGATGCCAGCAGTTGTGCCAATCATGCTCAAGATGTTGGCTCCATCTTCCCTTCTCTTCGTCAGCCACGTGTACAGTAAGGAGCAGACCAGATGGTGTCTGCCAAGGGGAAAGTTCATTTGCATAATAAGATTAGGGTGGGGCAGCCCACATCCCTGTGCGCTATGTAAACATCATACCTGATCCAACCAATCTGTGAGCCCTATGTAAATCAGACACTGCCTCCTCAAGCCTGACTATAAAATCTGGGGCATCCACCAAGGCTGGTGGCCTTTCCTCTGGGAAGTCCCCTGTCTTCTCACTAGAGAGAGAGCAGTTTTCCTTTCTTTTTCCTTGGCTATTAAACCTCCACTCCTAAACTCCTTGTGTGTGTCCGTGTCCTAAATTTTCCTGGTGTGAGACAACGAACCTGGGGTATATACCCTGGACAACGTAGCTGCTTCACGACTGAAGAGAAATTGAGTTGCAGATACATTTACTTGGGGCTAATGGAATATATTTATGTGGTGTGGTGTCACTTCTGTGTATAGTTAAGTTATTGCTGGCCGTATCAGTGCAGTAATGACTTATGGGAACCCTTCTAAAGTAGTCAATTCAAAGCTTTTTAAGTATTAGTCATTACATAAAAGACCTGACATATCCTAAAATCTTACAGCTTGTATATAAAAGAAATAATAGAGGTTTGATAGAGGTTTTCTTAAATTTGACAACAATCCAGAACTTTACATCACATTAGCCAGTAATGGGTTGCCATGCTGAAAGAGGCTTTTCTAAACTCTTGGGAAAAACTAAATTGTTTTTCTATTCTCTCCATAGAAATTACACTACAAAAGTAGTATTGGATGAAGAGGTAATCAAAAGATATGCAGACAAAAATATAGGAAAAAAGGTAGCGTGGAGGTGCGTCAGCTAATATAATGAAAATATTATATTATTTTTCCTGATTTTGTGATGTTTGTGGTATTTGCCAGTTTTAAAACTTGTAGTTTCTTGTGATTTGTTTTCTCATTCTAAATAAATGTTCAGGGTTTTACCTAACTTTATTCTTTAAAAATAAACTTATTTAACCCAAATGATATAAGCTTCTGCCCCACAAAACTTGGATCTGCCACTACTGATGGGGTAAATAGTGATGGTCATTTGGAGTGTGCCATGTTATAGATAAGGACACTGGTTTGCCCAAGCTAGCATAGATAGGGGTACAGCCAGGATGCAATGTTGAGTCTTCTGGATTCAAAGCTTATGTTTTCTTCACTATCCGAAACTATCCTCTTCCAAATGAAAATTTATGGTAATCAACACAAATTGTAGTAATAACAACAATCTATCAAGTGCTTAGTAGGTGTCAGGCATCAATAAATATTAATTTCATTTAAACTGCACAATGACTGTCTGTATTATCATCCTTATTTTACAGTTGGGAATACTAAGATTGAGAGAAGTGAATTAAATTGTTCAGGCTCACACAGCTAACAAAGGATGAAAGCCAGGATTTGAATTCGTGTCTAAATGAGTCTAAAGCCTCTACTATGTTACAAACTGCCTGGGGAGAAAATCCTGGAGATCCCTACAAGGGAAGACTGGCTTATTGTTTCCTTCCATCAACCTCCAGTTGAGTACAGAAGAGGACAGTGCCTTCTCTGACCTAGATGTGAGCAGATCAAATCCTTCCCCCAAAATTTTGGCACACCAATATGAACCAAATGCCCTAGGTGTCTCTTTCCGCAAATCCTAGACAGTGTTCTGTCATTGCTTTTGCCCACACCTATCCTCTCAAAAGCTAATCTTGGCTGCTCAATTGTGGTGTTCCTGATAGACAGGAGGCCTAAATATGATCAACCAAAGAACTTTCTGGCCTCTTCTTCAGGGTTATACTCACAGTTACCATTGAGGGCCCACAGGCACTGCATTAACACTGAAGCAACCTTGTACTTCCTCCTTTGCTATCACCAATCCTGCTTTTGGCAACACTATTACCTTTTTCAACCTTTTTGTTTTTCTTTTTTTTTTTTTTGAGACGGAGTCTCGCTCTGTCGCCCAGGCTGGAGTGCAGTGGCGTGATCTCCGCTCACTGCAAGCTCCGCCTCCCGGGTTCACGCCATTCTTCTGCCTCAGCCTCCCGAGTAGCTGGGACTACACGTGCCGGCCACAACGCCCGGCTAATTTTTTGTATTTTTAGTAGAGACGGGGTTTCACCGTGTTAGCCAGGATGGTCTCGATCTCCTGACCTCGTGATTCGCCCGCCTAGGCCTCCCAAAGTGCTGGGATTACAGGCGTGAGCCACCGCGCCGGGCCTACCTTTTTCAACTATTTAAGTGATGTCAAATATGGTTGTGAGAACCTGGGCTGCCAGGATTCCTTTGATTCCTCTTAAAGTCTTCAAGAAAGGGAGATGCTGTCCCCAGGGCACATACCTGAATCCTATTAGTTCTCACCTCACTTCTCAGCTTGGGGGACAACAAAAGACCTCTGTGTCACAGCCTTTCCATGTTCCAATATGAGATTTCAACCTGACCCTCTCAGTAGGGCAGCAGGAGACTGAAATAAGCATCCCTGCCTTCCAGGGCACCAAGTACCTGAGGATGTTTCTGTACTTGTCTACTTTTGTGCTGCAAACTCGAATTTTTGAACTTGATTCCAAGTCTCACCAGCTGACCTATTCTAGTTGTCAAAAATCAGTAGTTATTTTCTCCTCTGTATTTTTATGACATAGCACTGCTTCTAAGTCATCAAAATTGGCATCTATTTGTCAAAGGTCTTGGAGGTAGTGGACAGCATATGCTAAAACAGAACCTTGAGCCAAGCAGGTTGACAATTTCCAAAATGTTGAAGTAAGAGGAGGAGCACATGAGAGAAGTTTGCCCAGGTGAAAACTCCTTCGTCTGTTAGTTTGCTTTCTGGGGGATCCCTCAGTAAGGGCAGCTTTATTTTGATAGGCCACGTAGTTGAGCCGCAAACACTCTTCCTCACTGTCAGGCCCTGGCATTTTGTACCTGCTTCTCCCTTCCTCTTCAACTCCACAGCCCTTTCTAATGTGTGCTCCAATTCTGACCTGACCATCCTGAATCAACTCATTGATGAGCTTTGCAATCTTTGAACAGTCCTTCAAACAGCTCCTGTGGTATCTGCTGAATCTCCCAAATGTCTTTAAATGTTGAACACTGGCCATTCAGTGATCTTTTCAGGGTCTATGCCCAGCCTCTGCTGTGATTTTATATATCCAACGTATTATTTTTTGTTCCAAAGTTTGTTTGAACTGATTTTTAAAAATATCTACCCAAAATATTTTAATGAGGTCTTGCAGAACTGGCATTTGTCAAGGGACAGTTTCAGGCTGTGTTTCCCAAGTGATCCAGTAAAATGAGGAGCAATTGCTCCTCTCCTCCAAAGTGCCACCAAATATAATTATGTCATCTAAACAAGCAAGTACCTCCAGGTAATTCATATCACCAATTGCCCTTCCATAAAACCCTGGAAGGTGTCTGGGGCTGAAAAGATGTATGGGGCAGTCTTTCAAATAGGTAAAACCCCACAGAGCAGATGAAAGCTGTCTTTTCTTTATTTCAGTCAGCCATAGGGATTTAATAATAGCACTTCTCAAACACAGAATTGGAAATCACTGATTCCCTACCATACAGTCTAGAGGGTAATCTGTCCAAAAAACTCGCTATCTTAGGTGAAAAATGATAATAGGACATCTATATTCCCGGCCCTGTGTCTGCCCTCTCCTACAGTGAGCTTTGCTTCTTCCTCTTTATGAATTTGTTTATTCAGCTAAATTAACTCTGACTGCACATTATAATCTATGGAGTTTGTTATAAAACATCTATCCCTGGATCCCACCCACCCCTAGAGATCCTAACATTTTCTAAATACCTACTCTATGCTATGCCCCATGCCTTGCTCTAGGTGTAAAGGAAATCCAGTCATGGACCCTGCCCCTCAATTCATAGTTGAGGGGCAAAGATGGATAAATAAAAAACTATAATTCATCAAGAAAATACAGTATAATTCCATGTTCTTTTCTTAATCTAGATTGTTTCTCATAAAATTGTGCCAGTATGGGTAAGGTAAACATGGATTTGTTCAACAAGTCCTTGTATATAGGAGGAGGAGTGTTTCCTGGGATCTTGGGTGACATAAATTGAGGATTTTTAAAAAATAGTAAGATGAGGCTGGGTACAGTGGCTCATGCCTGTAATCACAGTGCTTTGGGAGGCTGAGGCAGGCAGGTCACTTGAGGTCAGGAGTTCAAGACCAGCCTGGGGCAACATGGCAAAATTCAGTCTCTACTAAAAATACAAAAATTAGCTGGGCATGGTGGCGGCCACCTGTAATCTCAGCTACTCAGAAGGCTGAGGCAGGAGAAACGCTTGAATCTGGGAGGCAGAGGTTGCAGTGAGCTGAGATCATGCCACTGCACTCCAACCTGGGCGACTCTGTCTCAAATATATATATATATATATATATATATATATATATATATATATATACACACACATATATATACACACATATATATTTATATATATACACATATATATTTATATATATACACATATATATTTATATATATACACACATATATATTTATATATATATATTTTTATATATATATGTATAGTAAAGTAAGATATATATGAATGTCCATAGAAGTTTCATTTGTAATAGCCAAAAATGAAACAGCCCAAACATCCTTCAAACGATGAATAATTGAATAAACTGTGGTACATCCATAACTTGGAATACTACTCAGTAAGAAAAAGGAATGAATTATCGATACACATGACAACATGGATGAATCTCCAGACTATGCTGATTATGTTGAGTGAAAAAGGCTAATCCCCAAAGGTGACATACTGTATGATCCCATCTGTGTAATCTTCGTGAAATGACAAAATTATAGAGATGGAAGAGTGATTAGTGGTTGTTAGGGGTTAGGGAAGTTGAGAGGGAGTGAGGGAGGGAGGTGTGGTTATGAAACAATAACAAGAGGGATCCTTGTGGTGACTGAAATGTTCTATGTCTTGATTGATTGTAGTGATGGTGATGCAAGGCTATACTATGGTAAAATTATATAGAACTAAACACTCACCCACACACCACATGCAAATATACATGTAGAGCTGCTGAAATCTGAATAAGCACTGTGGATTGTACCAATGTCAATTTCTTGGTTTTGATATTGCACTATAGTTGTATAAGATGCTAACATTGGAGGATACTGAGGAAAAGGTATACATGCCTTGTAATCTTCTGTGAATCTATAATTGGTTCAAAAAATAATAGTCTGAGAAGCTGCTAACCAGAAATCAAAAGGATTAAAAATGTCAGACACATTTGTAAATGCAAAACTACAAATGGTGTCATTAGGAGAACCTGGGAATATAGTTAATCTTCGATGTTACAAGGAGGACAAACTGTCTCAGGGAATATTACATTTTATTTTTATTTTATTTTATTTTGCTTTGGACACACAGTCTTACTCTGTAGCCCAGGCTGGAGTGCATTGGCACCATCTCAGCTCACTTCAACCTCCACCTCCCAGACTCAGGAGATTCTCCTGCCTCAGTCTCCTGAGTAGCTGGGACTACAGGCATGCACCACCATGCCAGGCTAATTTTTTTTTTGTACTTTTAGTAGAGATGGGGTTTTGCCATGTTGGCCAGGCTGGTCTCAAACTCCTTACCTCAGGTGATCTGCCTGCCTTGTCCTCCCAAAGTACTAGCATTACAGGCGTGAGCCACAGAGCCTGGCCAGGAATATTACATTTAAAAACAGATAAGTTTCATTGTTTTTCCAATTATAAAAGAATGTTTCTTGTGGAAAATTTAGAACATGTAGCCCCAAAAACATTATTAATAATCCTACCAATTTGAGATAACCATTATTTTTCGACATTTAGAGTGGGATTTTTTTTGTTTGTTTGTTTTGTTTTTAGCCATAGAGTCTCTCTATTGCCCAGGCTGGAGTGCACTGGTTTGATCATAGCTCACTGCAGCCTCAAACTCCTGGGCTCCAGAGATCCTCCTGACTCAGCCTCCCCAGTAGCTGGAACTACAGGCACGTGCCACCACACTCAGCTAGTTTTCTTTTTAGTAGAGATGAGGTCTTGCTATGTTGCCCAGGCTGGTTGTGAACTCAAGCTCCTGCCTCGACCTCCTAAAGTGTTGGGATTACAGGCATGAGCAACCATACACGGTCTTTTTTTTTTCTGTGTATAAAATTAAAACAAAAATTTTCATACTCAGCAATACATTTGTTTCTCGTCTTTAAAGAATAATTTATTTTGAGCCAGGCTGGATAAAATGATCATTTATTAATATAACTTTAATGAACATATAGTATTCTATCATATGGATGCAGAATTAATGATTTACCTAACCCCCTATTTTGAACATTCAGGTTGTTTTCAAGTTTTTGGTATTATAGATACTGCTGCAATACATATCATCGTACATACATCTTTGTATATATCCCTGATTACTTCCTTAGTATAAATTCTCTGGAGAAAAATTATTGGGTCAAAGATTATATACATTTTTAAAGTTTTTGCTACATCTGGCTAAATTGCCTGTCAGAAAGTTTATATTAACGTTCCACCTATTTTTTTTTTCCAGAGCACATTCCCGGTTGCTGATGTCAGCAACAAGGCTGGATAGACCCACTGTACCAATTTGTTTGCTCCTTAGTCCAGTGCTATAGAATCTAGCACAAGGCTGAGTACATACTAGGCCCTCAGAAATATTTGTTGATTTAATATCTTTCATAATGTATTCTTTGAAATTTGCATCTGGAACTGGTGAGAAACAACATAACCAAAATATTAGCATGCTTTAACCCCAAATTATATTACTGACATCTAGTGAAGAGTGAGGTCTTGAGGGAATAGGACAGGCATGTTTTTATAGAGAGGAAGGATCGGGGAAAAATCTGGAGGCTCTAAAGTAGAAAGCAGAAATCACCGGAGGTTTCTGGGAGTAGACTGAGGGAGTGTAAAAGGAGGAGAGAGAGGGCACTTGTGAAGTGCACCCACTCCATCAGTTTGCTGGAAAGGGAAAAGTGTCTGAGGCATCAGGGTGGTTGTTGGGGAGATGGGAAAAAGGCTCCCTGCTTCCTGCTACTCACTCCTGTAAGCACTCGGGATGCTAATTGACCTGGTAGCTTGGATATAAAAGTATCTAGTGTGCAAACTTCTCCCAGCAGAAGTCTGGGCAGAATTATGCTCAACTGTGCTTTTATTTTTTATTTTTTTATTTTATTATTATTATTATTTTTCCAAGACGGAGTCTTGGTCTGTCACCCAGGCTGGAGTGCAGTAGCGCGATCTCAGCTCACTGCAACTTCTGCCACCCAGGTTCAAGCAATTTTCCTGCCTCAGCCTCCTGAGTAGCTGGGATTACAAGCACCCACCACCACATCCAGCTAATTTTTGTATTTTTTTTTTTATTAGAGATGGGGTTTCACCATGTTGGCCAGGCTGGTCTCGAACTCCTGACCTCGTAATCCACCCGCCTCAGCCTCCCAAAGTGCTAGGATTACAGGCATAAGCCACCGCACCGGGTCGTGCTTTTGTTTTTTATCTGGGGGAGGGAAGGCACAGGTTTCATCTGTCTTTCCAAGTTTTCCCCTTTATGTCCTGCATGTGGATGTTACCAGTTACGTGGGACCAATGGTCTGGGCTCCTGATCATTGCAGCTCCTTTCACTCTTGGTCTGAAATGCAAACAGGGCGGGGACCATAAATGTCCCAGGGCTGTTTGGGAGGAGCCCTCCGTGGTTTCGGAAAAGAAGAGGCAACAGCCAGCTCTATTTAATCACCAGACGTGATTAAATAATAAAAATATGTGAGCACTTAAAAAATTATGCCAGGCTCTTCTTGAATGACTGTATGTTACCACATTTAATCTTCATAACAACCTTGTAAGACAGGTCCTTCTTATCCTTGTTTTACAGTTGAGGAAACTGAATTAACTTACCTTGATCACCCTGCCAATATGTTGCAGAGCTAGGATTTGCAATTGGATCTGAAAGCCCACTTATGTGATTTCAAACACCTGCTCCTAACCACTGCCTGAGTTAAACCACACAGGGCAATGGGCATTCCTGAACCTATTTCCTGCATTGCATGTCTTAATTTCTCAGATTCCACCATTTGAGATTCAATCCCTTGGATCATGAAGGCTTTCCTAGCCAAAGATCTTTTTTAAAAATAAATCTGGTACCTGGCATGGTGATTCACGCCTATAATCCCAGTGCTGTGGGAAGCCGAGGCAGGAGGATAGCTTGAGCCAGGAGTTTGAGACCAGCCAAGGCAACAGAGTGAGACCTTGTCTCTACAAAAAAAATTTTTAAATTAGCTGGGTGTGGAGGTGTGCACGTGTAGGCCTAGCTACCTGGGAGGCTGCGGTGGAGGAGGATCAATTGTGCCCAGGAAGCGTAGGCTGCAGTGAGCTATGATTGTGTCACTGTACCCTAGCCTGGGTGACAGATCAAGACCCTGTCTCTAAAATAAAAAAAAAATTAAAAACTGAATCTATCTAAACGAGCAGCAATGATTTATCATCAGCTAGCACATCAGATAACATTTGAGTGGAGAAAAATGGGCTGTTATCTAAATCCTTCAAACAGGCTAGGTGCAATGGCTCACACCTGTAATCCCAGCACTTTGGGAGGCCAAGGCGGGCGGATCACCTGAGGTCATGAGTTCAAGACCAGCCTGGCCACCATGGGGAAACCCCATCTCTACTAAAAAATACAAAAATTAGCAGGGCGTGGTGGCAGGCACCTGGAATCCCAGCTACTGGGGAGGCTGAGGCAGGGAGAATCACTTGAACCCGGGAGGTGGAGGTTGCAGTGAGCCGAGATCCCACCACTGAACTCCAGCCTGGGTGATAGAGCGAGACTCCATCTCAAAAAAAAAAAAAAAAAAAAAAAAAAAAGGCCAGGCGCAGTGGCTTAGACCTGTCATCCCAGTACTTTGGGAGGCCGAGGCAGGTGGATCACGAGGTCAAGAGATCGAGACCATCTTGGCCAACATGGTGAAACCCCATCTCTACTAAAAATACAAAAAATTAGCTGGGTGTGGTGGCGCACGTCTGTAGTCCCAACTACTCGGGAAGCTGGGGCAGGAGAATCACTTGAACCTGGGAGGCAGAGGTTGCAGTGAGCCGAGATCGCGCCACTGCACTCCAGCCTGGCACTGGAGATTCCGTCTCAAAAAAAATAAAATAAAATAAAAATAAATAAATAAATAAAAAATAAAAAAAATCCTTCAAACAAAGGACATGCGTAATTAATTCAGTTTCCTCAAAGTGATCAGTTTTGGAGAATCAGGACACAAAAGTCCAAAAAGGATAGATTAACTTTTTAAAATATTTTTCCCCGCTAGCAAAGAATAAATTTTATATTGGTACCCTTGAGGTTTACTACCGTTTAGAAAGCCAATCATTTGGGGCCTTGTCCATTGTTTTTGCATGCCAGATGACGTTGCCAGCACGTTTAGTAAACAATACATTGTAATTCTCAGAAGGTTGACTGCAACCTTCTTCTGTAGCCTTTCTTACCTCCCTGAAAGTTCCCTTTGTTTTTCAAGATTACACGAAGACTCAATCGCAATCACGTATCATGATGGAGTTTTATTTCTTCTCAGCATGCTGTAACAGGCTGTTTGATTTTCTGGGTTTGGGCTATCTCCTCTACAAAACTATAAGTTCCGGGGAAGGGATCTTGTTTGTCTTGTTTATCTCTCTATTCCCAATGACTAACATAGGGCTTAGCATATTGTAAGTGTGATGGTAATTTTATGTGTCAATTTGATTAGCTTAAGGGATGCCCAGAGAGCAGGTAAAACATTATTTTTGGGTGTGCCTGTGAGGGCGTTTCCAGAAGAGATTAGCATTTGAATTGGTAGAGTGTAAAAAGAAGGTTATCCTCATTAATGTGGGTGGCCATCATACAATTTATTGAAGACCTGAATTTGGAGGAAGAGTCAATTCACTCTCTTGAGCTGGGACATCCGTCTTCTCTCACACATCAGAGCTCCTTGGTTCTCAGGCCTTCAGATGCAGACTGAATTATCCCACTGGCTTTTCTGGTTCTCCAGCTTGCAGAAAGCTAACCATGGGACTCTTTGACCTCCATAATTGTGTGAGCCAATTCCTACAACTGAGTCTCTCTTCCTATTAATACATACATAGATATAAATATATTTTATTGTTTCTGTTTCTCTGGAGTACCCTGACTAACACAGTAAGGTGTTACATACATATTTGTTGAATGAATGAGTGAAACTTATAAAGGCTAAGCTAACTTGCCTATTGTTAAATAGCTATTAAGTGACTGATCCAAGACTTGAACTAGGCTAGCTAATAGTAGACCCCAAGTTGTAACCACCATACCAGACTATCACTGTTCTTTTTTGCAACTGAACCATGTCAAAGGCCATAGAGTAATTGCTAGGGAACTTAGAATCAGCTTTTCCCTCTCCTCTCTTTTCCCCTTTCTTTCCCTCCCTCCCTCCCTCCCTTCCTTCCTTCCTTCCCTCCCTCCCTCCCTCCTTTTCTTCTAAGATCTGGAAGGGCTATTTGAGGTCATCTTGTTCAACCTGCACATTTTACAAAGGAGAACCCTAGAGTTGAATCAGTCACGCGGCTTGCCTAAAGGCAATAAGTTAGTGGCAGACTTAATAGATAAGTTTAGCTTTCGTGGTGGGCATCATTCTAACAAAATCAATGGAGATCTAATTTATTTCATTCTTGTTTACCCAATATCTGTTTATTATAACTAGATTAGTCATGCCACTAACCTGGGACTGTGTCTTGCTCATTTCTACCTAAGTGGCATAGACCACACTGGTTCCTTTGCTGGGGATTTATTCTTTTTTCCTACATCGATCTATTTTATTCATCCTTCAAGCCCTAGCTCTGTTCTCCCCTCCTCCATACAGACTTCTCTGGCTCATTGCAAACTCATACAGCACTCTGCATTTGGTCTTTAATCACACATTACCATGTATTTTCATTTAAATGTTCTCAGGTATGTCTTTCCCACAGGCTCCCCCCACCACAAGCTCATCAAGAGCAGGATCTATATCACATGTAAACCTCTTTTGTAATCCTCTAGACTCCTAGAAAAGCACTAGACACATAGTAGACACTCAGGGAATAATTCTTGAATGAATGAATGAATAAATGATATAAACAAGAAAAAAAATGAAATGGTAAACTCTGCCATCTTGTGGTTATTCATCTTTGGTGTTGTCATTTTCACTGTATTTTTTTAGTGTTGAAATTAGAAAAGCATCACATGGTAAGAAACTAAGGTGATGATGGTGAAATTGGGAAGGTTTCTTTTTCTTTTGCTCAACGTACCAACAGCATGGTTACTGAAATATTTCATAAGAAAAACTAGAGGTGGAGGGAAACAAAAACCCAAAACAAATCGTGTACCTGAGGATTGAATATAGACCTGGGAAATATTTATTGGATTTCCTCAGGTACAATCCATGCTTCGAATGGGTCAAGTAAGAGAAATTGTCCCAACATGTTCAACAATTCAGAACTCTGATCAGATAACCAATCTACTTATTTAAGGGGAGCTATTAATAGACCTTTTATAACAGTCATCTGGTGAAGAGAAGCACTGTTTTATTTATTTATTTATTTATTTATTTATTTATTTATTTATTTATTTTGAGACAGGGTCTTGTGCTGTCACCCAGGCTGGAGTGCAGTGGCGCAATCTTAGCTCACCACAGCCTCAACTTCCTGGGCTCAAGCGATCCTCTCACCTCAGCCTCCTGAGTAGCTGGGACTATAGGTGCGTGCCACCATGACTGGCTAATTTTTAATATATATATATTTTTGTAGAGGTGGGGTTTTGCCATGTTGCCCAGGCTGGTCTATGAACTACTGAGCTCAAACCGTCTGCCCGCCTCGGCCTCCCAAAGTGCTGGGATTACAGGCGTGAGCCACTGTGCCTGGCTAAGAATCACTGCTTTTGATTTAACAGTCCTGGGATCCAGTCTTAGTTTTGCTGAACAACCTTGCGCAGATCACACAACCTCTCTTATCTCAGTTTTCTTACCAGTTAACTTGATGCCTAATTTACTTCCCAGGGCTCTCATGACACTCTATAGGACCACAGGCATGAAGGTTCTTCAAAACATTTTAAAAAAGTGATATACATGTTTAACAATACTACAAAAGAAAAATAATGTTTATCCTTTTCATTTGTACAGCACCTGAGCATTTTAAAATGCAGTCATGACAGCGGGTGGGGGCTCACTCTTGTAATCCCAGCATTTTGGGAGGCCAAAGCAGGAGGATTGTTTGAAGTCAGGCATTTGAGACCAGCCTGGGCAACAAAGTGAGACCCTGTCTTATGAAAAGAAAAATTTAAAAATTAGCTGGATGAGGTGGTGCTCACCTGTAGTCCCAGCTACTCAGGAGGCTGAGATGGGAGGATCTCTTCAGCCCAGAAATCTCTTGAGGCTTCAGTAGGCCATGATCATGCCACTGTACTCCAGCCTGGGTGACAGAGTGAGGCTCTGTCTCTCTAAAAAAAAAATAATAATAAAAAGTAAATAAAAACATCATTTTTTTTAAAAAAAGTGCCTTCGTGCCCATTATCTATTTTCAGTCTCACAGCAACCCCAGGATGCAGGCAGGCATTATTACACTCAACTTACAGATGGAATTCAGAGGTTCATATACAGAGTCAATAAAAATATATTGAGGACCTGTTATATGCCAGGCATACTGATAGGTACTTTCCCATGTTAGAGAAGTTAAGTTAGTTGTCCAAAATCATCTGGTGGTTAAGTGGCAGAGTCTGCACTCCAACTCAGATCATCTGATTTAGGAATCTAGGGCTCAAACCCTACTATCTTTAGGTCAGTCTAATTCCTCTCCTGAGGGTATTCACATTTGATTTTTCCCTTTCTTTTATGGAATGAAATATTTTGTTTTCTGTTAGATATTTAAGGTCTCAAGAGCAGGTGCACCAAAAAACACTGGGTGCAGGCTACAAGCCTATACTTTATTTAATGCAGTGGTTCTCAGCCCTGGATGTAAAATAACATCACCTGGGGAGTTAGAAAACAATTACCCACATTCTGGCCCCACAAGAAAGTGATTAAATCAGAGCCTCCAGCAGTGGAGCCTGAGAAAAAGTTTTTTTTTTTTCCTTTTAAAAGTTAATTCTAATGTACAGTTAGGGTTGAGAACCACATTGCTATAGGAGAAAAGTCAGTGACCCAACATCTTAACATAGTCAATTCAACTTTTCTAGAGACTGTTCCTAGCAAATACCAAGAAAATTCAATGAGGAAAAAGGAAGAGGAGTAAATAAATATCTTAGAAATGTCATTTGTTCAATCTGATTTAGTAGTGCAAGTAAGTTGGATGGCAGTTGATGGAAGTAAACCATTAGAGATGAAGAACCAGGAAAGAAAAGGACATGGATCCCACTTTGAGGTAGGGAGAGAGATGGCAGACACATCTTTCTTACCTCATAAGAGTAGACACTATAAACCCCTATTCATTCATTTATTCCTAGATCAAATATTTACTGAGCATCTAGTATGTGCCAGACGCTATTCTAGGTACCGTCAGTATAGCAAGCCAGATACAGACATTAGACTCATGGAACTTTCATTCTAGTTGTGAGTGTAGAGGAATGAATGGTTCTGCTGTGATGCCCTGGTGACCTTGAACACCTTCACCTATGTCACACAGCCAAGGTTCAACCATGGTCTGACTCAAATCTTGGAGGAATACTCTGTGATCTCTCTGCAACATGGCAAGATAAGAAATATTGTGATAAGTTGTCACAAGCTCATTTCTCAACTGCCTCCTTATCTTGTGGGAGGGTGCCATGAGGTAGTTTCTTATTTGCCTCCCTGGTTCCAGTGAAACATAGAGCTTTGTACCATCACACACATACACACACACAGCCCACTTCAGTAGAGCTGTAGCATAAACTGCTTGGCTATAATTTAGAGTTGGCTTCTGCACACCAGAGTGACCCATTGCTTGTGTCATCTGCCATCTGACATCTCTAATTCAGTGTCATCCTGTGGGATTAGCAACATCATACTGATCTTGTTTTGCTGCCTGTGTTAGTAATAAACTGTATCCATTTGGGCTAGTTGTCTTCTTATTGGCTGAATCTATGGAAGTGTGCTAAGCTAACCTAGCAGCTACCAATGCACTGTTGCTTAAGGGGCTTGACTGTTTGAAAAATTGGGACAGATCTGATCCATACCAGTTAGATAGAAAAACAAAATTATTTCAAATTGTGATAAATACAATGAACCCTAAAATATCAACCCTACGTGGGCTTAGAAATCACCTAAACACTGGGGAGAATGTGCAGGTTTAATTGAATAATTTCAATAAACAAACATGTAAGAAATGAGAAAAACACAAAATCATTGAAGAAACACCGTAATTGTTGTGGGCAAAATGGATGTTAAAATTAGTGGGAGAAAAAAAAGAAGCAAAAAAAAAAATTAGTGGGAGAAAGTTTGAGAAGAAGTAGGGCTTCAAAGTATCTCTCCCATGATATTTATTAATTACAAGGGAAAAATGATAACTTTCCAGTAGAGAAACTCAGCTCCCTCTGTTTGAGTGGGAACATATGAGAGACAGGAAATAAATGAATAGAGTCCTGGCCCAAGAACAGGTCACTGTGGGTCTGCTGGGTCTATGGACTTATCTGATGGTCATTTCCCTAGTTCCAGAACGTATAATTGGACTGGCAAAACTGAGAAGTTTGCAGAACCCCTATATTGATTATTTAAACAGCAGAGTAAAATCTGTTGTAGGAGGAAAGGCAAGCAAAAGCCTCAGAAATTTCTCATCCCCTCTTACCAACATAGTAAGTAAATAAATAAATGAAATTGACAAACCACATTACATCCCAGGGAGAATTGCAGAATTTAGTGCCTTCAAAGACTTATATAATGCAGTCCCCATCAGATACCTATTTAATTCACCAGTGTGGCTCCTGAGAAAACCAGATAAATCACGGCAAATGACAATGAAGTACCACAAATTTAACTAAGTAGTAGTAACGACTGTAACAGCTGTGTTAGATGTCATATCTTTACTGAAGTAGATTAATATACGTGTATATATGGCTACTGGTCAAGTGAATGTTTTATTTTCCATACCCCTTTGAAGGTGGATCAGAAAGAGTTTGCATTCACATAGTATGGACGTCAGCACATGTGGTGAATGCTGTAATGGGGCATCCAGATTTCCCTTCAGCAATGAAGATGTTATTACTCTAGCTGCTGAAAGCACATCTAAAAGATGGCCTTTGGGTGCCAGTTCTCTCTAGAGATTACCATAGCTAAAGAAAACTGCCTCACCCAATTGAAACCTCATACCTCTTTCCAAGGGCAGCCCACACTCAGTGATTAGTCAATGCAGGGATATAAAGGCCCAGCCCTCTCAACCTAATTTGGGACAAGCAGTCATTCTAGTTCCAGAGCCTCCCATGGGGTTGGCTGAGGCCTTCATTAGAACTACATCATGGCTTCACTTCTCCCTCTGACTAATCCTCTTTCTTTCACCTCCTTTCCACAAGTGTTGATCTCAAGGGGCACTCCCTAATAAACACCCTGCACACTGGTCTCCATCTCAGGGTCTGTTTCTTGGGGAACCCAGACTCTGTGACAGTTGATGACAAGAGTGGTCTGAGAAAGCAGGTACCTTGATGGGATTTTGGATCTGGATCAACCACTGCCTAGATGACATCGAGGACATCATTAATGTTGGTAGGTGGAGCACTGATATTCCCTGACATAGGTAGAAGTGCAGGTAAAACTTTCATTGGTGAAAGGGGATACAGTAGCTATTGGGATATATTAGGCATTTGAGAACTATGGGGAGAATAGTAATCTTAAAAAAGATGGAATTTAGTAGCTATTCTGAAGTTTGATTGCTACTCTGAACAAAGATAACACAAAGCTGAAAGTGATTAATTAGCAATTTTAAGTTAAGAGTGAAAGCCATGGAGCCTCTTTGGTAGCATATAAAGAGGCTCTTACTTCCTGCAGCAGGATGATAGAGAAAGCTAAGGACCAGGTCTAGGACTTAATTGTAAGAGTAGTCAAGCTCCAAAGGTGGCTAACATATCAACTAAGACAAGTGTGCTATGCCAGGGTCAAGGCTGTGGTTGAAAAAGAAAGAGATCTTGACACATGGGATAGGGACTTCTGGGCCTGAAAATCTTGAATTCCCAGATTTCCCTGAGACCTCTGAGCTTGTAGAAGTGGCCTGCACCTTCCTATTAAGAGCTAGCATGCCCTATTTGCTTGAAGACAATACAGAGGCCTCTCTCTTGCAAGACAACATGTGCCTGCACCCCCTCCTCCTGGACATAGGGTTTGATTTAACTAGGGTTAAATCACAATGTAACCCATATGGGGATATGCTATGCCTGCTAAGATGTGAACTGGATAAGACTCTGAAACTGCAGCATCTGGTCAACATGTACTAGCAGGAGCTGGGAAGTAGGTATGGGCAAGAATTTTGAGAGTGCTGATTTTTTTTACTTTACGATAGTGCAAAAGCTGTAAGCATTAAGTAGAAACTGCACTTCAAGTACCTATACATCTGATATGGTTAGGCTTTATGTCCCTGCTCAAATATCATCTTGAATTGTAATCCCCATACTTCCCACATGTCAAGGGTGGAGTGGAGGTAATTGAATCATGGGGTCATTTTCCCCCATACTGCTCTCGTGATAGTGAGTTTTCACGATATCTGATGGTTTTATAAGGAGTTCTTCCCCCTTCACTTGGCACTTCTCCTTCCTGCTGCCTTGTGAAGAAGGTGCCTTGTTTCTCTGCCTTCTGCTATGATTGTAACTTTCCTGAGGCCTCCCCAGCCATGCTGAACTGTGAGTCAATTAAACCTCTTTCCTTTATAAATTACCCAGTCTTAGTCAGTTCTTTATAGCATTTATAGCAGTATGAAAACAGACTAAAACAACATCCATTCTGTTTTTTTTTAACTTTCAGTACCATATTCAATAAATTACATGAAATATTCAACACTTTATTATAAAATTGACTTTGTGTTAGATGATTTTGTCTGTCTGTAGGCTGAAGTAAGTGTTCTGAGCACATTTAATGTAGGGTAGGCTAAGCTATGAGGTTAGGATGTTTAGGTGTATTAAGTGCATTTTTGACATAGTATTTTCAACTTACAATGGATTTATTAGGATGTAACCCAATCATGAATCAAGGAGCATCTTCACTTCCGAGTACGTGCCCTAAAAAATAGAAAGCAAGGACTCAAGGAGGTATTTCTATACCCAAGGTCATAGCAGCATTGTCCACAATAGCCAAAAAGTAGAAACAACCCAAATGTCCACTGGTGGATGAATGGGTAAGCAAAATGTGGTATATGCCTACAATGGAATCCTACTAATTCTACAACATGGATGAAACTTGGGAGGGCTTTACGCTAAGCAAAATAAGCCAGTCATAAAAGGACAAATCCTGTATGATTTCTTTTTTCTTTTCTTCTTTTTTTTTGAGACGGAGTCTTGCTCTGTTGCCCAGGTTGGAGTGCAGTGATGCAATCTCGGCTCACTGCAACCTCCACCTCCCTAGTTCAAGCGATTCTTCTGTCTCAGCCTCCCGAGTAGCTGGGATTACAGGCGCCTGCCATCATGCCCAGCTAATTTTTGTATTTTTAGTAGAGATGGGGTTTCGCCATGTTGGCCAGGCTGGTTTCGAACTCCTAACCTCAGGTGATCCACCTGTCTCGGCCTCCTAAAGTGCTGGGATTACAGGCGTGAGCCACACGTGCCCGGCCATGATTTCATTTACATGAGGTACGTGGAGTAGTCAAATTCGTAGAGACAGAAAGTAGAATAACAGTTGTTGGGGGTAGAGAAGAGGGTAATGAATAGTTATTGTTTAATGGAAACAGAGTTTTAGTTATGCAAGATGAAAAGAGTTCTGGAGATGGATGGTGTTGATGGTTGCACAATAATGTGTAGGTATTTAATGCCACTAAATTGTACACTTGAAAATGGCTAAGATGAGCCAGACATGGTGTCATGTGCCTGTAGTCCCAGCTATTTAGGAGGCAGAGGTGGGAAGATCGCTTGAGTCCAGGAGTTTGAGTCCAACCTGGGCAATATAGCAAGAGCCTGTCTCTAAACAAACAGACAAAAAACATTAAAAAATGGCTAAAATGGTAAATTTTATGTTATGTGTATTTTACAACAAGTTTTTAAATGTTAAAAAATTCAGCCTTATTCTCATGGGCCCTATATTCTATTATAAGAGGCATATAATACCAAAGTAACAAAATAATATAACAAAATTATGTATATCCAAAACAATTTAAAGTTTTCATTTATTCCTCCCTCTTCCCCTAAACTTCTTTCCTCTTCCCAAAGGTAATAATTGTTATCAGTTTGGAATTACCCCCCCACGCTTTTAAAAATGCATATGGGCTGATTTGATCTTTACAAATTATATGAATGTATTAAATTATCACATGTACCTTGAAATGATATACAACTATTATGCATCAATAAAACATGTGTGTATAATGCCTATATAAATATATACTGCTGTGTTTAAAAACAATTACATAAATAGTATCATACTGTATGTGTTTTTCTCTTACTTTTTCCTCTCAGCAATATATCCTGGGGATTTTTCATGTCCATTTATACATGAAACATTCATACTAATCCACAGATGGCTGTGTCCTGGTACATTTAGCCTTTCTCTAATGAGTAGACATTTGGTATTTATCTCGTCTTTTTCTATTACAAACAATGTTCCAGCAAACATCCTTGCATCTGACTCTATGCCTCAGTCTTCAAACTTCTTTGTATAACTTGTCATCAGAAATGTGAATCTAACACTTCAGGAAGTACCAAGATTGCTATGAATATTAGTTTTTTGGACTATGGCTATATTCCAGGAAACTAATTACTTAAGGTAAATCATGAAAGAGTCCATGAATTATGGAGCTACACAAAGATATTTCACAAAAGAGTTACAGATTAGGGAAATGGAAAGGATGAAGCATGGGTGGAGAAATGAGCTGAGATAGTGGGAATAGTCCAGATAAGCTTGACTATCTTGAGGAAGTGGTCAGATTTAAATAGCAATTAGCAGTGTTTTCACTAGAGGAAAAGTAGAATATTGAGGTAAGATAGGATTATGTGGCAAACACAGGTTTGAATGTTTTGATAAATTAGGAGACTGAAGAGATGAGGCAAGGGATTTAAGTGAGGGTCTTAATGTGCAATATTGGAAATTACAATCAAAATGCCCAAACTCAAGGGGTGCACTTAGGAATGATTTGTTAATACATACACAGGCCTAAGAATCATTTTTATGGAACTCATTTCCTGTAGGGCTTTTCTGAAAGAACACTGTGCTCCTTTCTAAGCTTATTTTTCTTTGTTCTGATCGTCATTCTGCCCTTACTCGCTATGTTTGTTGCCAAGATCTAGGAGGCAAAAAATAGGCAAGAGAGCATGTCACAGTCCATGACTAGACAAGCTGTGTGACTCAGGAGGCCAAACAAAGGTCAGGGCACGGAAACCTGCCTTGGCTGTGCTCTTAAGCAAATGAATGGGTCAGTTGGCCTATCTTTTACAAAAATTTATCTGTTTATATGGCAATGTGCATTTTGTAATTGTTCTTTTCTACATGATCTTATGACATGCTGATTCTACTTCCATTATACCACTGATTTTATTCTGACTTGTATTATAGTTACTTATAATTTGAGGATGCAAAATGGTGGTGTATAGGTCACTTCTAGCCTATAGATATGCTTCATTTGGCTAACACAAGCTCACATTAAAAAATAGTTGCCAATATTTCAAAAATAGGAAGGTTCATACAAAAATATGCATTCCTGATTTCTCCTGAAAAAATGAAATCTGGCACACAGGGCCTTCATTTCCTCATAGCAACAACTGACTGGAACTGAGCAGTAGCTGCCCTTATTATAATATCAACTTGATGTTGAATCTGAAAGTTGGTTACCATTTTTCATGGAACTGACATTGTTATTCTTACAGTGACATTAGGAAAAAAAAGTGAAATACTTTTCTATGCCCAGTTTTTATAAAAGTTGGGAAACAAAAGCTAGAGTAAGGGGAGAGGACTGTTGTGCTTTAAGAATTGAAATATAGAGATGGGTTGAAAAATAGGTGAGGCTAGGAATAGAGAGCTTGGGCGAAACTGCTGAGAAGGCAGAATGACACGCACAAGGAAGTAGTTAGGTCACTTCTCTTACTAGGCTTCTCATGGGGGGCATCACTCCTAGGGCACATTGTACTGCCTCTCTGCCTTCAATTGAAATTTTCATTGAGCATCTACATCATATCAGTCACTGGGGAGACCGTGGTGAACAAAGCAGACATAGCCTCTGTTCTCATGGAGCTCACAATTGAACGGGGGAGCCAGACATTAATAAACACCATGAGGGAAGATAGGAAAGTGCTAGAAAACAAACACTAAAGAAGATTTTTCTAATTTAGCGGATCAGGGAAGTCTTCCCCGAGGAAGTGACACTTAAAATGGGGCCTGAAGAGTAAGTAGGAGTTGGTTAGGCAAAGAGGAGGGGATCAAGTTTTAAGGCAAAAGGAATAGCATGTGCAAATATCACAAAACAGGCAGGAATGTGGGACTACCGTAGATCTGACAGAGGCCAAGTGGCTATTGTTAGATAATAGAGATAGTAGCTGGAAGGGTTAACAAGGCCATACCATGCAAGGCCTTGGAGGCTATGGAAAGGATTTGTATCTTCAGAGCAGTGAGAGTCACCAAAAAGTTTTAAGAAAAATCACCATGATTTGAATTTTGCTTTAACTTTTGCTTTGGCCACCCAGCAGTGAGCTCTTATCCACAGTTATAATTCTCATTTATGTGTGTGTGTGTGTGTGTGTGTGTGTGTGTGTGTGTGTGTGTGTGTGAGACAGGATCTCACTCTGCCACCCAGGCTGGTGTGCAGTCTAGTACAGACTAGGTGGCTTAAACAACAGAAATTAATTTTCTCACAATTCTGGAGACTAGAAGCCCAGGATCAGCAGGGTCTTGGCAGGGCTGCTTTCTTCTGAGGCCTCTTTCCTTGGCTTGCAGGTGGTTGTCTTCTCCCTGTGTCTTCACGTGGTCTTCCCTCTGTGTGTTTCTGTGTCCTAATCCCCTCTGCCTATGAGGACACCAGTCAAAGTGGATTAGGGTCCACTCTAGTGGCCTCATTTTAACTTAATCACCTCTTTAAAATCTCTATTTCCACATATAGTTACACTCTGAGGTACTAGTGGGTGGGAGTTCAATACATAAATTTGGTGGAGGTTGCGGCGGCAGGGGTGGGGCGCACAATTCAGTCCAAAACAATAAATCATGTGTACCAGAAGCATCTGAAGTGCCTTGTTAAGAGTGTTACGCCTCCTGTGATCCATCTCAGAGTGACAGTGATTTAGAATCTACTTGTCGTAAGTCTCGGGACACGTAGGTTGTTCAGCTCTAGAAGCCCTCAGATTGGCAGGACTTCACTCTTCTCACCAGAGAATGTATGTCTGAAGGGAAGTCATGCTTCTACCTTTGTTCCTATAAATCCTGGGATGGAGGAATTCCACTGCTTCATTCTTCTCCAATTAATCTCTTCGCACAGGTCAGGCCCTGGAATATGTACTACATTTGCTTTGTAACCCTGGACATATACTCCCATCCAGCTCTCACAAGAGCAGAAGGCATGTACTACTGTCCACTCTGGTTTTGGTTGTTTTAATGTACCTCACATTTTCACATATATGGGAACATCAATAATAATACCAATAGTAATATTAATAGAAATACTATTCAACATTTATTGAATGCTACTGTATTTCAGGAATTATGTTAAGCATTTTGTACTATTGCATCTAATCTTTACAACAAAGTTATGGGGGCAGGTATAGTTGTATTAGATTGTTCTCATGCTGCTATAAGGACATATCCAAGACTAGGTAATTTATAAAGAAAAGAGGTTTAATTGACTCACAGTTCTGTAGGGCTAGGGAAGCCTCAGGAAACTTACAATCATGGCAGAAGGGGAAGCAAACACATTCTTCTTCACAAGGTGGCAAGAGAGAGAAGAATGAGTCAAGCGAAGGGGGAAGCCCTTATAAATCCATCAGATCTTGTGAGAACTTACTCACTATCATGAGAATAGCATGGGGGAAACTGACCCCATAATTCAGTTACTTTCCACAGGGTCCCTCCCATGACACATGGGGTTTATGGTAGCTACAATTCAGGATGAGATTTGGGTGGGGACACAGCCAAATCACATCATTCCACTCCTGACCCCTCCCAAATCTCTTGTCCTCACATTTCAAAGCACAATCATGCCCTTCCAACAGTCCCCCAAAGTCTTAACTCATTTCAGCATTAACTCCAAGTCCAATTCCGAAGTCTCATCTGAGACAAGGCAAGTCCCTTCCACCTATGAGTCTGTAAAATCAAAAGCAAGTTAGTGACTTCTTAGATACAATGGGGCTATAGGCATTGGGTATATACATCCATTCCAAATGGGAGAAATTGGCCAAAACAAAGGGGCTACAGGCCCCATGCAAGACCGAAATCCAACAGGGGAGTCATTAAACCTTAAAGTTTCAAAATGATCTCCTTTGACTCCATGTGTTACATCCAGGGCACACTGATGCAAGAGGTTGGCTCTCATGGTCTTGGGCAGCTCCACCCTGTGGCTTTGCAGGGTACAGCCCCACTTCCAGTTGCTTTCATGGGCTGGCATTGTCTGCAGCTTTTCCAGGTGCACGGTGTAAGCTATTGGTGGATCTACCATTCTGGCGTCTGGAGGATTGTGACCCTCTTCTCACAGCTCCACCAGGCCATGCCCCAGTGGGGACTCTGTGTGGGGGCACCAACCCCACATTTCTCTTCTGCACTGCCCTAGTAGAGGTTCTCCATGAGGGTTCCATCCCTGCAGCAAACTTCTGCCTGTACATCCAGGTGTTTCCATACATCCTCTGAAATCTAGGCAGAGATTCCTAAACCTCAATTCTTGACTTCTATGCACCCACAGGCCCAACACCATGTGTAAGCTGCCAAGGCTTGGGGCTTGCACTCTCTGAAGCAATGGCCTGAATTATATGTTGGCCCCTTTTAGCCACAGCTGGAGCTGAAGCAGCTGAGATGCAAGACACCATGTCCCGAGGCTGCATAAAGCAGGGGGCCCCTGGGCCCAGCCCATGAAACCATTTTTCCCTCCTGGGCCTCCAGGCTTGTAATGGGAGCAGCTGCCATGAAAACCTCTGACATGCCCTGGGGACATTTTACCCATTGTCTTGGTGATTAACATTTGACTCCACGTTACTTCTGCAAATTTCTGCAGTCTGCTTGAATTTCTCCTCAGAAAATGGGGTTTTCTTTTCTATTGCATAGTCAGGCTGCAAATTTTCCTAACTTTTCTGCTTCATCTTGAATGCTTTGGTGCTTAGCAATTTCTTCCCCTAGATACCCTAAATCATCTCTCTCAAGTTCAAAAGTTCCACAGATATCTAGGGAAGGGGAAAAATGCTACCAGTCTCTATGCATAGCAAATTCATCTTTACTACCGTTCCCAACAAGTTCCTCATCTCCATTTGAGATCATCTCAGCCCGAACTTCATTGTCCATATCACTATCAGCATTTTGGTCAAAGCCATTCAACAAGTCTCTAGGAAGGTCTCACAGTTTCCCACATCTTCCTGTCTTCTGAGCCCTCCAAGTCTCTAGGAAGTTTCAAACTTTCCCACATTTTCCAGTCTTCTTCTGAGCCCTCCAAACTGTTCCAACCTCTGCCTGTTACCCAGTTCCAAAGTTGCTTCCGCATTTTTAGGTATCCTTAGAGCAGCACCCCACTCTCTGTGGTACCAATTTACTGTATTAGTCCGTTCTCATGCTGCTATAAGGACATACCCAAGATTGGGTAATTTGTAAAGCAAAGAGGTTTAATTGACTCACAGTTCCACAGGGCTGGGGAGGTCTCAGAAAACTTACAATCATTGCAGAAGGGGAAGCAAACATGTCCTTCTTCATAAGGTGGCAGGAGTGAGAAGGATGAGAACTGAGTGAATGGGGAAGCCCCTTATGAAACCACAGATCTTCTGAGAAGTTACTCACTATCATGGGAATAGCATGGGGGAAACTGCCCCCATGATTCAATTACCTCCCACTGGCTCCCTTCCACAACACATGGGGATTATGAAAACTAAAATTCAAGATGAGGTTTGGGTGGGCACACAGCTAAACCATATCAATAGTAATCTCCATTTTACAGACGAGAAGCAGGATCAGAGAAGTTAAGTGATTTGGTGAAAGTGGTGTAGCTAGTAAATGGCAGACTCTGGATTCTAGCCCAGGTTATACACCTCTAAAGTACATGTTTTGCTACAAGGATAGGGATTTTTGCCACTAGGTTTATGAGAAATGTTGATCAGTAATTTTCTTTTCTTGTACTGTTTTAGTCTGGTTTTGGTATCAGAGTAATGCTTACCTCATAAAATGCATTGGAAAGTGTTGGCTTCTCTACTATTTCATGGTAGAGATTGTGTAGAATTGGTTTTTATATTCTTTAAATGTCTACCAGTGAAACCACTTGGACCTAGAAATTTCTTTTTTGAAAGGCTTTAAAATATGAATTCAATGTCTTAAATAGTTATAGGACTATTCAGGCTATTTATTTAATCTTGGGTGAGTTTTCACAGCTTGTGGTATTTGAGGAATTGGTTTATCACATAGAAGCTGTCAGATTTATGTGCATAGACTTATTTGTAGTATTCCCTTATTTTCCCTTTCAATGTCTGAGTCATCTCTACTGATATTCTCTTTAATTTCCTATATTGATAATTTGTGTCTTGTTTTACATTTATCAGTTTTTGTCAGATTTGTGAATTGTATTCATCTTTTCAAATAATTAGCTTTCATTTTAATTGATCTTCTCTATTGTTTTCTGTTTTCAATTTTGTTAATTTTTCCTCTTATTTTTATTATTTTCTTCATTCTGCTTGGTTTTGGGTTATTTAGCTCTTTTTGTTTTAGTGTCTTAAGGTGGGAGCTTATATTATTGACTTGAGTCTTTTCCTCTTTTCACCTCAGATATATTGAAGTACAATTAACAAATACAGTATAAGTTTAAGGTGTACAACATGGTGATTTGCTATATGCATATATTGTGAAATGGTTACCACAATCAAGTTAGTTAAGAATCTATCACCTTATGAATTTGCCATTTTTTAGTGGTGAGAACATTTAAGATATCAAGTATTTAGCAGAGAATTTTAATAAACTATGGTAATCATGCTGTAGATTAAAATTACCAAAACTTCTTCATCTTATAATTGAAAGTTTTTACCCTTTGACCAACATCTCCCTATTTCCTCCACTCCCCTGACAACCACCATTGTACTCTGCTTCTATGAGTCTGACTTTTTCGATTCTACATGTAAGTGTGATCATACAGTATTTGCCTGTTTGTGAGTCTGGCTCATTTCACTTAGCATAAGATCCTTCAGGTTCATCCACATTGTCACAAATGACAGGATTTCCTTCTTTTTATGGATGAATAATATTCCATTGTATGTATGTATGTATTTATCTATCTGTCTATCTATCTATCATATTTTTTTCTCCATTCATCCATTGATGGATGCTTAGGTTGTTTTCATATCTTGGCTATTGTGAATAATGCTGCAATCTCTTTGAGATGCTGATTTTGTTTCCTTCAAATATATGCCCAGAAATGGGATTGCTGCATTGTATGGTAGGTCTATTTTTAGCATTTTGAAGAACCTCCATACTGCTTTCGTACCAATGTACATTGTCATCAATAGTGCATAAGGGTTCTCTTTTCTTCACACCCTCTCCAACTCTTGTTATTTCTTACCTTTTTTGTAATAGTCATCCTAACAGGTGTGAGGTGATATCTCATTATGGTTTTGATTTGCATTTCCCTGATGATTAGTGATTTTGAACATTTTTTTCATATACCTGTTTACTATTAGTATGTTTTCTTTGGAGAAATGTCTATTCAGGTCCTTTGACCATTTTTAAATTGGGTTGTTTGGAATTTTTTTTGAAATTGAGTTGTTGTATGAGTTTCTTATATGTTTTAGATATTAACCCCTTATCAGATATATGGTTTGCAAATATTTTTTCCCATTCCATAGGTTGCCTAGTTATTTTGTTGATTGTTTTCTTTGCTGTGCAGAAGCTTTTTAGTTTGATATAGTTGCACTTATTTATTTTCATTTTGTGGCTTGTGCTTTTGTTATCATTTTCAAAAAATCATTGCCCCTCTTTTCTAATACAGGTTGAGTGTGTCTCATCTGAAATTATTGGGACCAGAAGCGTTTTGGATTTTAGATTTTTTTTTCAGATTTTGGAATATTTGCATAAATATAATGAGATATCTTGGGGATGGGACCCAAGTCTAAACACAAAGTTCATTTATGGTTTATTTATTTATTTATTTATTTATTTTGAGGCAGAATCTCTCTCTGCTGCCCAGGCTGAAGTGCAGTGGCACAGTCTTGGTTCACTGCAACCTCTGCCTCACAGGCTCAAGTGATCCTCCTGCCTCAACCTCCTGAGTAGCTGGGATTACAGGCATGTGCCACCACACCTGGCTAATTTTTGTATTTTTAGTAGAGATGGAGTTTCACCATGTTGGCCAGGCTGGTTTCGAACTCCTGGGTCCAAGTGATCCACCCGCTTCAGCCTCCCAAAATGCTGGGATTATAGGCATGAACCACTGCGCCAGCCTATGTTTTATATATACCTTATACACATAGCCTAAAGGCAATTTTATACAATATTTTAAATACTTCTGAGCATGAAGCAAAGTTTTGACTGCAACCTCTCATATGAGGTCAGGTATGAAATTTTCCACTTGTGGTATCATGTTGACACTAAAAAGGTTCAGATTTTGGAGCAGTTCAGATTTTTGGATTAGGAATGCTCAACCTATGTAAGTATTCAATGCTATAAATTTCCTTCTAAGGATTGTTTTAATTGCATCGTACATTTTTTTTTTAAAGATAGGGTCATCTTACGTTGCACTGGCTGGACTCGAACTCCTGGGTTCAAGCTATTCTTCTGCCTCGGCCTTCTAAGTAGCTGGGACTCTAGGCACGTACCACCACAACTAGCTGCATCCTACAATTTTGATGTTTTACTTTCATTTTCATTCAGCTTGCTCTTAAGCTTTGTTAGGACAGGTCTAGAATACCCTTTAGTTTAGGGTTAATTTTGCACTCCTACTAAGGTATCATTCTTCTGAGGATTCTACTAAGTAATCTGTGTATTAGGAGATTTTTCTACTCTGGCTGGTGAAGACATGTACTATTACCAGCCTTCTGTGAGCTCCAGGAATGATTCTAGTTACTCCTTTTTTGGTGATTATTTCCTTGGCTCTTGGTATTTTCTTCTTACTTCTGTGCAGATCAGTACTTAGCCAAAGACTTAAGGGGACTCTTCTGCCAATCTCTGGGACATTTTCTCTGTGCAGCTTCTTCCTCTCTGGTAGTCTGTTCCACAAATTATAGTTGCCTTGACCTCCCTGAACACCAGTCTCTGTCTCCTCAACTCAAGGAGACTGCTGGGTTCTGTTTGGGTCTCTTCTCCTTGTGCTGCATACTGGAAACAGCCTTATGCAATGGCAGGGTTAACTTTGTGTGTTTCCAGATATTTGGGGGTTACAATTCTTCACTGCTTATTGCCCCAATGTCTAAAAACAGTTCTTTCATACATTTCATACAATTTTATAGTTTTAAGGTGGTAGGATAAATCCAGCCCCTGGTACTCCATCTTGGCCATAGTGGAAGTTGAATTAACTGACTTTTAACTTTCACTTTGTTTTTTTTTGTTTGTTTTTTTTGTTTTTTTGTTTTTTTTTTTTTGAGACAGAGTCTTACTCTGTCGCCCAGGCTGGAGTGCAATGGTGCAATCTCGGCTCACTGCAACCTCTGCCTCCTGGTTTCAAGTGAGTCTCCTGCCTCAGCCTCCTAAGTAGCTAGGATTACAGGCACCCGCCACCATGCCTGGCTTTTTGTCTTTTTAGTAGAGATGGGGTTTCACCATGTTGGCCAGGCTGGTCTCAAACTCCTGACCTCTTGTGATCCACCTGCCTCGGCCTCCCAAAGTGCTGGGATTATTGGTATGAGCCACCGCACCCGGCCATTTTTCTTTTCTTGTTATGCCTAGCTTTTAGGGGAATGAGGTAAACAATAAAAAAAGAAGGCTGTATCAGGAATTTATTTTAAAAAATAAACTTTTATAGCATGTCCCTGGTTAGTCTGCACTCAGCTAACCTGACAAATATATGCCCTAGATGCCTAACTTTCATAATTGACTTCAGGCCATTTGACAGCAGAAAAATTCTGTCTTAGTCAGAGTCTGCTCACTAAGAAATGTTGCCAAATGCCACGGTGGGAAGATCACTTGAGGCCAGGAGTTTGAGACCACCCTAGCCAACATAGTGAGACCCCATCTCTTAAAAGAGAGAGACCAGGAGATTCAATTTCTATGTTTATTTAGAAAAAACCATAAACATCAGTTTTTAAATTTTTTTTATTCCTTTTTTTTTGTGTGCCGGGACATGTTCTCATCTAAAAAAACCATAAACATCAGTTTTCTGGGAAAATTGGGCTGGTTTCAAAAGGATGATGAACTCAAATGTTTTGTCTTTTTTTTTTTGAGACACAGTCTCACTCCATTGCCCAGGCTGGAGTGCAGTGTTGTGATCACAGCTCACCGTAGCCTCAAACTCCTGGGCTCAAGCGATCCTCCTGCCTTAGCCTCCTGAGTGGCTAGGACTACAGTCACCATGCCTAGCTAATTGTTAACTTTTTTGTAGACAAGTGGTCTCACTATATTGCCCAGGCTGGTCTCAAAGCCCAGGCCTCAAGCAATCCCCCAACCTTGGCCTTCCAAGGAGCTGGAACTACAGGCTTGCACCACCATGCCTGGCTCTTGCCTTCCTCTGTTGTTCCTATCAGTGCCCCTTCCCCATAGACACCATCTTCCTTCTGGCCCCTACATGTCAGGAGCTGGGCTACATATCTTAAACTCCTATTAGCCATGAATCTTGATGTAACCCAAATCTCTCTAGCTGCACTTTTTACTGTCTCTGCCATGGTCTGCCATGGCCCCTCTATAGGCTGGTTTTCTCATTGTCTCTTGAATATGTTGTACTTATTTGAAATTTTAAGTTCATACTCATGTTGTTGCCACTGTCTACAATGTCCCTTGCCACTACAAAGATTGACCATCCTTCAGGGATCAACACAAAGTTGCATGCAGCCATTTTTTACCTCAACTCTACCAAGTGCCCCCTTTCAATCTATATCATTCACTTCGCACTTAATACCTTGCCGGGATTTCTGACACTATCACTCATGTGTACACCTTGTCTCCACAATCACATTGTAAAGTCCTGCAGAGTAGAGACTATTTAGAGGTGTTCTTTTCTTTCTTTGTACTCCAATCCCCAGCCTCCAATGTCTAATATTGTGTTATATTCGTGATAAAGTAAGCACCCAAACTATACATATAATTTTTTTGTTTTTAGATGGAGTCTCACTCTGTCACCCAGGCTGGAGTGCAGTGGTATGATCTCAGTTCACTGCAACCTCCATCTCCCAGGTTGAAGCTATCTCCTGCCTCAGCCTCCCAAGTAGCTGGGATTACAGGCGTGTGCCACCATGCCCGGCTAATTTTTTCTGTATTTTTAGTAGAGACAGGGTTTTGCCATGTTGGCCAGAGTGGTCTTGAACTCCTGACATCAAGTGATCTGCCCACCTTGGCCTCCCAAAGTGCTGCGATTATAGGCATGAGCCACCGTGCCTGGCCTAAACAATATTTTTTGAGTGAGTAAATGAATGGAGTAATGAAAATAGGATTCAGAAGTCTTTAAAATGATAACAAAAGCTAACACTTATTGAACACTTTGTGCTAGGTTTTTGCTAAGGACCATACATAGTCTATCTCATTTAATTTTCTCTTTTTTAGAGGGATCAGCATTTATTTTCTTTCCAAATGTTACAATGGAGCCAAGTGGGAATGATTTTAGCAATTAGAATGTATACATCTTCAGGATTTGGCCATTATATGTTATTTACAACAAGGGAGACAAAAAATAAGATGTATTACATTAGACACTTTCCTCTCTCTCCCTGCCTTGGCCTGAAAGCCTAACCATTCCCCGACCATGTCTAAAATGGACACACAGTTGATTCCCAGTCTGGAGGGATAAACCTAGGGAGGGTCAATGTCCCAACTCAGAGACCCTTGGAAAGCAAAGGAAATTAAAAACTCAACATAGGGTGGCAGAGGTGTATGCTCAGAGTCTGGGAGTGAAAACACTCCACTCTGGCTCTGGGATTTAGTGGGCAGGTAAACAAAACTTACCTGGAATAGAAGTAGGGAGGAGAATCAGAAATTGACCTCTGCAAGTGTAGAGCCAGTGAAAGAGGTGGGGAGATGGAACAGATGTATTTTACATGACTAAACTCACTCAGAAAACTGTAAAAGATCATTTTCAACTGTCCTTGAGGAGGGAAGGGCAGATGGATTATGGGAAGGTCCTCAGGAAAGAGAAAGGGGAAAATGTGGCTGTGGGGAAGCAGAAGACAGTTTTTTTTTTTGTTTTTTGTTTTTGGCATGGGGAGAAAGTGAGGGTACTCGGTCTGGCCAGTCACCCTACAATGACAGTACAATTTTTGCAGCTTAGCAATCACTTGTGTGCTCCCAACCCAGCTCTTCATTGTGCTTCCTGACCCTTGGTGTCGGTGCTGGTCTCTGGCTTGAGGGGGTGGACAATTCTGTGGCTTGGAGCCCTGTCTCTTCTTTTGTGTTTCCAGCATTACTGGTAGAGGTAGCCTCTGCTTGGGACTCCTGGCTCTTGGGAGAAGGTGGTGGCGGTGGCCTTTCCTTCCTGGCAGACTGTTCAGCACCACCAGCACAAACTTCCCCTTCTCTTGGTTGGTGAGGTGGGAGACACAATATCTTCAACCTCTTTCTGGTTTCTCTTGAAAGGCCTGTATTTGAAGGACTCCATCTTTGTCCATTCAGTCTGCTATAACAGAATACCATGGAGTCGGTGATTAATAAACAACAGAAATTTATTTCTCACAGTTCTGAAGGCTGGGAAGACCAAGATCAAGGCAACAGCAGATTCAATATCTGGTGAGTGCCCGTTTACTGGTTCATAGTCAGCTGTCTTCTCACTATAACCTCACAGGTTGGAAGAGGAGAGGAAAATCTCTGAGGCCTCTCGTTTTATTTTACTTTTCTTGTATGTCCAGCCAATGAAGGGCCTCTTTTATAAGGGCACTAATCCCATTCATGAGGGCTCCACCCTCACGACCTAATCACATCCCAAAGGCACCACCTCCTAATACTATTACATTGGGGATTAAGTTTTAATATATAAATTTTGGGCCAGGAGCAGTGGCTCACGCCTGTAATCCTAACACTTTGGGAGGCTGAGGTGGGCGGATCACGAGGTCAGGAGATCGAGACCATCCTGGCTAACACAGTGAAACCCTGTCTCTACTAAAAATACAAAAAATTAGCTGGGCGTGGTGGCAGGCGCCTGTAGTCCTAGCTACTCGGGAGGCTGAGGCAGGAGAATGGTGTGAACCTGGGAGGTGGAGCTTGCAGTGAGCCGAGATCGTGCCACTGCACTCCAGCCTGGGTGACAGAGAGAGAGACTCCGTCTCAAAAAAAAAAAAAAAAAAAAAAAAAATATATATATATATATATATATAAATTTATAAATTTTGTTGGGGGGCACAAACATTCAGTCTCTAGAAGGCTCCTCCTCCTCCATCTCCTCATTTCCTTCCTCTTTTCTTCTTTTATTCCCCTCATTATCCTTCTCCTTCTTTCTTCTTCTGAGTCTCTTTGGGGCTCTACATTGCGGAGTGCTGGTTTGATGGCATCTGGGGTAGCCTCGCCTGCCTCATCCGTTCCATTTAAGGTGATGAGACTTCCCTTTGCCTATGAGTGCCAGGTTTTAATTGCTTTTCAGGTGGCCATTCTCCTGTTTTTTGACCTTGGTGATGGAATGGGGGTGAATTGTGTTCACATTTCCCTAGAGCACCTAGGAGCTCTGGATGCTCATGCTAGGGGTTTGCTGTGGAGTACCCAGAGGCTTCTCAGATCCACACCTCTGGAGCGGGGCTAGTGAGGTATGACTGGCCAGTGGAGTGATAGGCCTGCATTACTGAGGGATGGGGGTTTCAGGGAAGGAACTGCACAAGATCTCTCATTTAATGCTTACAACGACTCTATGAGATAAATAGCTGTATCTATCTATTCCTTATTTACTTATTATGAAACTAAGTCTTAGAGGAGTTAAGTAACTTGTTCAAGGTCACACAGTTAGTAAGTATGTGTGTGTGTGGTCTCTTAAATAAAGACCCATGTTTGTCTCCAGAGCCTGTGTTCTTAACCAAGATAGTTTAGGCTAATTTGATGGCAAATCATTAAACTATTTGAATGCTGGTAGTAGCAAACAGGACTTTTCTTGCTGCCAACCATGGGTGTAAGAAGGTTTTTGAGAGATGAATATTTTAGAGATATTATTTTCCCCTCTGACTTGTGTGCCTTTGTGGACAGGGACTGGACCACCTACTGTTCAGATGTTGTAGCAGATATAACTAGGACCCCTGAAGGGAATGGAACAGTTGCCAATTGGATGACAAATTCAAGTCACTGTGTTCTGGCTAACAGAGTCACAGGAAATGCTGAAGGAAACATAACTAGTAGTAGCCAAAGAAGGAGAAACACATTTTGGAGCAGAATTCCTCTCGTTTGCCAATCTTTTTACAAAAGATTTTCCTGATGAAACTCGTCTGGACTTTGTTTCTTGAAAGAGTCAGGAGTGTAGAATGTGGGCATCTGGCTGCCAGCGGGGTCCTGTATCCCACTATTGGAAGGTGCCAGCCAGAGTTCTCCTCTGAATGTAATAATTACCAAGCCATTATTGAAATGGTCTTTAGAAGAAAACTTGTTTAAAGGGTTACATCCTGGGAATTTTTGCTCTTCCAATGTTATTAAAACCTAGTTGCTGTTTTCTCAGTTAGGCAAATGTTAGAGGAAATGAAATATAAACAGAGATTAATTTCTTCTCTCTGACATTTGATTTTCATTAGTTCCAAGTTATACTGTTCCTTTTATACTGTGTTCTTTTTATACTGTGTTCCTTTTAATTATCTGTTCCACAAGTTAACGTACATATTTTTTTCTTTTGAGATTCATAATGAACTTTAAAATGATGTTTTAAGGACAGAGCTCTGATGAGACCTGACTTTTTTGTTTGTTTGTTTTTATTTACCAAATGATGTATTCTTGAATAAACCTTTTTGGGTGGAAAACAGCCACCAAGTTGATTCCTCCATGCAGGGATAGACATAGTTGTGAAGGAGGCTGCAAAGCTGCCATTGGTAGTTCCCCATGTCTTCAGCCATTTTCTCCAATCCCCCATTCTTGCTTCCAGCCAGCTTGTTACCTTATAATATGTGCCCCATTGTTATGTGCCCCACCTTCTTTCGCTTTCTTTCAAGAACTTCACCCTTATCAAAATGTCCTCCTTCAGAGTCTTCTACTTTGCCTCCTGGTTTCCTCCTACCATTCTCTTACTTTCATTCTGAACTGGAACTGATTCCTCCTTAATGTTTCTCCTGGTCTGACACCTACATGACTCTTGTTTCAGTCTTCCTATAACCTACATTGTGCCAGAGGCAACAATAAATATTGAATAAATGAATAGATAGGTGAGTGAATGAATTAATTAATTTGAGGAATTCTGATGATCAAACAGGATGTCAGGTCCTCATTTTTATTTTTATCTTTATTTGTTTTTTGAGATGGAGTCTTGCTCTGTCTCCTGGGCTGGAGCGCAGTGGCACGATCTCAGCTCACTGTAACCTCTGCCTCCCAGGTTCAAGTGATTCTCATGCCTCAGCCTCCTGAGTAGCTGGGACTACAGGTGCATGCCACCACATCCACCTAATTTTTTTATTTTTTAGTAGAGACAGGGTTTCGCCATGTTGACCAGGCTGGTCTTGAACTCCCGACCTCAAGATATCCTCCTGCCTTGGTCTCCCAAGGTGCTGGGATTACAGGCACGAGCCACTGCACCTGACATGTCAGGTCCTTTATTTAATTTACTTAGATTAATTTATTATTTTTTTTAGAGACAATGTCTTGCTCTGTCACCCAGGCTGGAGTGCAGTGGCATAATCATAGCTCACCTCAACCTTGAACTCCTAGGCTCAAGTGATCCTCTCTCCTAAGCCTCCTAAGTAGTTGGGACAACAGGCGAGAGGCACTGCATCTAGCCCCTTTATTGTGTTTATTACTTCTAAATCATTTTAGTATGAAAAATTTCAAATATACAGATGAGTAGAGGGAGTGGTACAAACAGTCCCTGTGTATGTATCACACAGCTTCAATAGCTACCAACATGGAGCCACTCTTCTTTTATTTATAACCTGTCTGCTTTTTGTCTGGTCCTTTAGCTGAATTCAGTTCAGTCAAGCAAGTGCATTATGGGTGCTATGATCTGAATATTTGCGTCCCCGAAACTCATGCGCTGAAACCTAGTTATCAGTGTGATGGTATTAGGAGGTGAGGCTTTTGGGAAGTGATTATGTCACAAGTGGGACTAGTGCACTTATAAAAGAGGCCACAGAGAGTTAGCTTGCTCCTTGCACCTTGTGAAGACACAGTGGGAGTGTGCCATCTGAGAACCAGAAAGTGAGCCCTCACCAGACACCAAATCTTCCAGTGCCTTGATCTTGGACTTCCTTTTTTCTTTTCTTTTCCTTTCCTTTTCTTTTTCTTTTCTTTCTTTCTTTCTTTCTCTTTCTTTCTTTTTCTTTCTTTCTTTCTTTTTTTTTTTTGGAGTCTTGCTCTGTCACCCAGGCTGGAGTGCAGTGTCACGATCTCACAATCTTGGCTCACTGCCACCTCTGCCTCCTGGGTTCAAGTGATTCTCCTGCCTCAGCCTTCCGAGTAGCTGGGATTACAGGTGTGCACCACCATGCCCAACTAATTTTTGTATTTTTAGTAGAGACAGGGTATTGGCATGTTGGCCAGGCTGGTCTCAAACTCCTGACCTCAGGTCATCCACCCATCTCGGCCTCCTAAAGTGCTGGGATTATAGGCGTGAGCCACCGTGGCCGACCGATCTTGGACTTTCTAGCCCTCAGAACTGTGAGAAATTAATTTCTGTTGTGTATAAGCCACCCACTTTACAGTATTTGGTTATAGCAGCCCAAATGGACTAAGACAATGGGAACATTTTAAAAACCGCTACAGGTATCTGCACTTAATTTAGACCTCCTGCTTGCCCTCTCTATTATAAAAGAGGCAGATTTGTTTGTAACTTTTCCTGCTTCCTTGTTTGGCTCTTGTTTTTTACTTCTACCAGGGGTTCTTAATCTGGATGCACAAATCCCCAAGGAGTCAATGGGTAAAAATCAAGGGGTCTATAAACTTGTATAAAAAAAATACAGTTTCATTTTCACTAACGTCCAACTAAAATTATATTATGAACATAAGCAGCGAACCACAGTAGTACGTGTAGTACATGCAACTTTGAAAGGAGTAGAAATCTTTTAATATAAAATTTCAGAAGTTGTAGAGGCTTCAAAGTACCTTTTATGCTAATCACTACTTTGGAATCATAATAGTTACTAGACCTGCCACCAGATCTTGTTATTGGATGTGTGAATAAGGAAACACATACATTACTGTATCACTTATTAATATTTTTATGATTGTACAGAGATATATTTGGTTTCATTTGTAGCTCATTATGTTTTATTTTATATACTTAAATATTATTCTTTTAAAAGAAATTTATAGTTTTTCCTAAACTGTCAAAGGGTCCTATGGCTCAAAAAATATCTAGACACTTTAGTTGATAACACATTTGTATTCCTTATTCTAATTTTGACTTGATGTCTCCCTATCACCCACAACCAGTATAATTTATTACTTGTCTTCTGTGTAATACACAGGAAAGAAGTACCTCTCTTCCAAGTCCTGTATGCAGGGCTAGCTCCCCAGGACCTGCTCCTTTTACTCCCTGCCAGAGCAGGAGCCAGAGCAACCTTTGCTAGCAACCCCAGAAAATAGATTTAGCCAATTATCATTTACTAGCAACAGGAGGGCCTGATGGATGACTTTAATATATTTTAGTTTTCTACTGCTCAAGTAATTCTCATAATTCAGTTGGTTTTATATTATAATCTATTTTAGCCACCGACTGTTGGGTAAATATTGAATCCCTGACTCCTGTGCGATTTTGGCAAGCCTAGCCTTGCCCTTGGCATTATGAAAGAAGCAGATTGAATTATGTTCCCCTTCACATTTTCTTTTATCAATCTCCCTCTCTCCTCCTCTTTTTTGTTAATACTTTCTCCCCTTTCTTACTCAGAGACTGTTTCATTCTTTCCAGGCCCAGATCTGTGCTATGCAGCAAGAGATAAATCTACTTGGTCTCACAACCTGATGGCCTCTGCACTGAATTTACAAGCATGAGGTATAGAAACATCGCACAGATTGTAAGGGGTGGCCATCCCAGTTGTGTGATAAGTCTCTTGTGCCACAGGTTTTTCTTTCTGACTCTTTGCCTCAACTTCACTCAGCTGTCCCCATGTTATCTACCTGCTATCACTCTTAGCCTTAGGACATAGACCTGACCTGGACAAATAGCACCTGGGTTTGGTTGCTCCATAGATGGGGCTTCCATAGCAGGTACCAACACTCCAGGAGCCTCTCTGTTTCATATGGTATCCAATTTCCAATATCCAGTGGTCATGTAACAGACAATTGCTGTGTCTTCCATTTCTAAAGTCTCTGTGCCTATAATAAAGTGTCATCTAAGTTCTTTTATTATGTCTGAGGAATGCTGTTATTTCTATTGATTATTTGTGGAGGAGGAAAGATTGACATGCCCCGATTCTTCCTTTCTCAGGCTAACAGCTCTTGTCAGTTTCCCAGGTTACTTCTCTCCTTAAAAGGGAGTGTTCTTAAAAGAGTCTAATAATGATGGTTTATAATGCCAAAAATACCTTAAACGTTCCATTCTTTTCAGGCCCTTAAATGTAATGTCAGTCATGAGAATCCTATAAAAATCTGAGGCAGATAGCTCAGAAACAATTCAAGCCCACCCTAACCCACTTCATGTGTTAGCTTCCCTGTCTCCTTAATTTTTGCTTTCATATCTTGGTTCTATATTTCTGGTAATCCTTCAGCCTTGGTGATTTATGTTTTGTGCTCTGTATCAGCTAACATCTTGGCATCCTCAGGACTCCACATTTGGAATCTGCTCCTTGGCTCCATGTATTATAACCCTGGGCAACAAACACGTTGCCTTCACCCACAGTCCTTGGAACATCCTCTTCCCTCCCCTAACAAGAATGCTGAGCTCATTCACTTTCCAGAGCCTCAAGAGGTCTCCTGCGTAGAGTCATGGATCATGCATCTCATCCTAAAGCTCAACTAAGCAGCATCTGATGAGAATGTGACGAAGGCTGAACCAGCACACTGAACCACCATCATCCTTGTGCAAAAGCAAAACTGGAGTTGCTGGCACTGTTCTTTCAGGTCCCCTATCAAAATGCCCTTGAGCTGCGTCTGGTTCTGTTATGGCTTCTCACTTCAAATAGAACCATTAACACAGACACAGCAACTGCTTTTTTTTTTTTTACTGTGGTAAAATACGTATGAAATAGACTGCTATTTTAACCTTTTAAAGTGTAAAACTCAATGGCATTAATTACATTCAAAATGTTGTACAACCATTGCCACTATTTCTAAATTTTTTCACCCCCGCAAACGGAAACTATGAATCCAGTAAGCAATAACTCCTCATTCTTCCCTCCCTCCTACTCTCAGTTTCTGATAACCTTTAATCTAATTTCTGTCTCTATGAATTTACCTATTTAAAATCTTTCATGTAAGTGGAGTGACATAGTATTTGTTCTTTTGTGCCTGGCATATTTGACTCAGAATGTTGTAGTATGTGTTGGAGCCTTACTCCTTTTTATGGCCGAATGATATTTCACTGTATGGATATACCAAATTTTGTTTATTCATTCGTCTATTGATGGACACTTGGGTTGTTTCCACCTTTTGGCTGTTGTGAATAATGTTGCTTATGAACATGAATGTACAAGTATCTGTTTGAGTCTCTGCTTTCAATTCATTTGGGTGTATACTCCAAAGTGGAATTGCTGGATCATATAATAATTCTACATTTAAATTTTTGAGTAAGTGCCAAGCTGTTTTCCACAGTGGCCGCACCATTTTATATTCCCAACAGCAATGCACGAGTGTTCCAATTTCTCCAAATCTTCAGCAATGCTTGTTACTGTCTGATTTTTTTTTACTATAGTCATCCTAGTAGGATAGAAGTGATATCTCATTTTGTGTGTGTGTATGTGTGTGTGAGTGTGTGTGTTTGAGACCAGGTCTCACTCTGTCACCCAGGCTAGAGTGCAGTGGCACAATCTCGGCTCACTTCAACCTCTGCCTCCTGGGTTCAAGTGATCCTCCCACCTCAACCTCTCGAGTAGCTGGAATTACAGGCACGTGCCACCACACATCTGGCTAATTTTTCTATTTTTAGTAGAGATGGGGTTTCGCCATGTTGGCCAGGCTGATCTTGAACTCCTGACCTCAAGTGATCCACCTGCCTTGGCCTCTCAAAGTGCTAGGATTACAGGTGTGAGCCACCACACCTGGACCTCATTGTGGTTTCGATTTGCATTTTCTTAATGACTAATGATGTTGAGCATCTTTTCATGTGATTTTTGCCATTTGCATATCTTATTCGGTAAAATGTTTATTCAAGTCCTTTGCCCATTTTAAAATTGGGTTGTCTTTTTGTTGTTGAGTTGTAAAAGTTCTTTATATATTTTGGATATTAAGCCTTTGTCAGATTTGTGATTTGCATGTATTTTCTCCCATACTTTGGGTTTTCTTTTCACTCTATTGATAATGTCCTTTGATACACAAAAGTTTATAATTTTAATGAAGTGCAATTACTATATTTTTTCTTTTGTTGCCTGTGCTTTTGGTGTCAGATTTAAGAAACTATGCCCAAATTCAAAGTTGTCAAGATTTGCTCCTCTGTTTCTTCTACAAGTTTTATAGTTTTAACTCTTAAATTTAGATATTTGATCCACTTTGAGTTAATTTTTGTATATAGGGTAAATTAAAGTCTACTGCTTTTGACATTCTCCATTCATAAGTTTTCTTGGCTCTTTCTTCAAATTTGGCTTTATAAAATTCCTATCAATTTTTAAAAATTTACACTCTTGGATTTCCTATGCAGCTAGGACCTTGGACCCATCATGTCTCTGAAACCATGGGTAAAGGTCACTTAACTTACGTGCTCTCTGCTGGTGTGTCAGAGGAAGATATCAGACATAAACATAGAGTACGAGATGACTGACCACCAACTCTAGGAGGATGTTTTCTTACATTATTATGCAGGAGAACCATGTGCTTAGCACATACCTAACTGAATCCAACATAGCAGGCTATTGTAATACAGAATTCAAGAGGCTTGAAGAATCATAGGTTGCTTACAAAAGAGCTATAAGAGCTGAGATCGGGCTGTCTCCACTTAGTCAGATGATCCTAGCTCTGCTACATGTTCACCCTTGATAGAAAAAAAAAACACACAGAACAACAACAACAACAACAACAACAAAAACCCAAAAAAACCTAACCCTTTAAAGAGTGAAGACTATACTAAGAAGATAAGGCAGCATGACAGGCAACTGTGGGGGGCCACTTGGGACAGGAAGCTCTTTTGGTGCTGCTAGGTGTCCACCACACCATGCCGCTGGTGGTTGATTATAGAATGTTGAAACTGTCTAGAAGGAGTAATGACTTTGCATCTAATGTGAGAGAAAATTACTTGAATGAAAGCCTTGCCATATTCCCATTCATGCTGTAGATGACAGCCTCTCTCAGTTCCTTTACTGGCTGATGCTTTGGCATGTGCTAAGGAAGGTTGAGAATTGCTTCTTCCTTCTTGTGTTGTATAATACAATGAAATTTCACTGAGCATCATCTATTTCAGGCCAGGCCCTGTGCTAGACACTGGGGAATGAAACGTGAAAAAGACTTGGTTCTGGCTGGGAGTGGTGGTTCATGCCTGTAATCCCAGAACTTTGGGAGGCCGAGGCAGGCAGATATCTTGAGGCCAGGAGCTTGAGACCAGCCTGGCCAACATGGTGAAACCTTGTCTCTACTAAAAATACAAAAATTAGCCGGGCGTGGTGGTGCACACCTGTAATCCCAGTTACTCAAGAGGCTGCTCCATGAGAATCGCTTGAACCCAGGAGGTGGAAGTTGCAGTGAACTGAGATTGTGCCATTGCAATCCAGCCTGGGGGACAGAGCAGGACTCCATCTCCGAAAAAAAAAAAAAAAAGACTTGGATTCTCATCATAGTCTTGTTTTGTTGCTGTCTTTATGGAAAGTTGAGTGTTTCAGTTTCAGTTGGTACTAGCTTATGGGGACATTTGAAGGAACTTACATGGTAAATAAACTCAGGATTATATACCCAGGTTTCCATAGTGGAAATGGGCTTTAAGGATGCATGTGAGAAAGACTTAGATATTTTTTACAAGTCTCAATCAATTTATTTTTTATTTATTTTATTATAAATTGACAATTTATACCTGTATATGTTTATGAGGTACAAAGTGATATTATGATTTATGAATACCATGTGTAATAATTAATTCAAAGTAATTAACATATCCATCACCTCAAATACTTATCATTTTTTGTGGTGAGAACATTTGTAATTTACTGTCTTAGCAATTTTGAAATGTACAATACACTATTATTAAATATATTTACCATGCTGTGCAGTAGATGTAAAAAAAAAAACCCCTTATCTCTCCTAAGGAATGAGTTGGTGCTTATGTGTGTGTGAGTGTGTGTCTTTTTAAGACAAGGTCTAGCTCTGTTGCCCAGGCTGGAGTGCAGTGATGTGATCATGGTTCATTGTATCCTTGACCTCCTGGGCTTAAGTGATCCTCCTGCCTCAGCCTCCTGAGTAGCTGGGACCACAAGTGCATGCCACTACACCAAGCTAATTTTTTCATTTTTAGTAGAGATGGGGTTTTGCTATGTTACTCAGGCTGGTCTCTAACACCTGGCCTCAAGCGATCCTCCCACTTTGGCCTCCCAAAGTGCTGGGGTTATAGGCATGAGCCACCACACCTGGCCTATTTATATTTTTTAACCATCATCTCCCCATGCACCCCACCCCCAGCCTCTGGTAACTACCATTCTATTCTCTGCTTCTATGAGTTCAAGTTTTTTAGATCCCACATATAATTGAGAACATGTAGTATTTGCTTTTCTATTCTGGCTTATATTACTCAGCATAATGCTCTCTAATTCCATCCATGTTGTTGCTGCAAGTGACAAAATTTTCTTCCTTTTTTAAGGAATGGGGTCTTGCTATGTTGCCCAGGCTGGACTTGAACTCCTGGGCTCAAGCAATCCTCTCATCTTAGCCTCCCATGTAGTTAGGACTACAGATGCATACCAACATGCCTAGCTAGAATTTCCTTTCTTTCTTTCTTTCCTTCTTTCTTTCCTTTCCTTTCTTTTCTTTCTTTCTTTCTTTCTTTCTTTCTTTCTTTCTTTCTTTTTCTCTCTCTTTCTTTCTCTTTCTCTTTCTTTCTTTCTTTCTTTCTTTCTTTCTTTCTTTCTTTCTTTCTTTCTTTCTTTCTTTCTTTCCTTCTTTCTTTCTTTCTCTCTTTCTTTCTTTTAGATGGAGTTTCACTCTTGTTGCCCAGGCTGGAGTGCAATGGCGTGATCTCCTCTCACTGCAACCTCCACCTCCTGGGTTCAAGCAATTCTCCTGCCTCAGCCTCCACAGTAACTGGGATTACAGGTGCCCGCCACCATGCCAGGCTAATTTTTGTATTTTTAGTAGAGATGGAGTTCCACCATGTTGGCCAGGCTGATCTCGAACTCCTGACCTTAGGTGATCCACCCGCCTCGGCCTCCCAAAGTGCTGAGATTTCCGGTGTGAGCCACCATGCCCAGCCAAATTTCCTTCTTTTGAAAGGCTGAATGGCAGAGTGGGGGGCGGAGGGGAGTGTCCAAGATAGCCAACTAGAAGCAGCTAGTGTGCATGGCTGTCAGGTAGAGGAAAAGAAGGGGCAAATAAATACAACACCTTCAACTGAAACATCCAGGCATTCACACTGGGATTAATCAAGGAAACAACCTGACCCACAGAGAACGAATAAAAGCAAGACAACAGCCTACCTAGGAACAACATGGAGCCAGGGGATCCCCCCGCCACACAGGGAAGCGGTGACTGAATGAGTGACCCGGGGAAACCAGGCTTCTCCCAGGGGGCTGAGCCGCAACAGCCCACACACCCCACTTCCATGGCACCTCACAAGATAAGACCCACTGGCTTGGAATTCCAGCCAACTACCAGTAGCTGCATCGCACCTCCTTAAGAAGGAGTTCCCAGGGGAAGGGGTGGGCCACCATCTTTGCTGTATGGGTGTCTTGGCCATTCCAGCCTTCAGACTTTGGAGTCTGAGCTGAAGGCTGAAGGGATCCCCCAGCACAGCACAGCTCCTCTACCAAAACATGGCCAGACTGCTGCTTTAAGCAGGTGCCTGATCCCGTTCCTCCTCACTGGATGGGACCTCCCAATGGGGCCTCTGCCCACCCCTGCCTGAGCTCTCCGGCTGACAAAGATCTTAATTCTCCCTAGGATTGAGCTCCCGGAGGGAGGGGCGGGCTGCTTCTTTGCTGTTTGGGTGACTTAGCCATTCCAGCCTTTGGGCTTCAGAGGGTCTGAAGCGATCAGGGGCTGAAGTGCACTCCCAGCACAGCACAGCTACTCTACCAAAACGTGGCCAGGCTGCTTTTTAAAAGCAGGTTCTGATCCCTTCCTCCTCACGGGGTGGGACCTCCAAACTAGGGCCTCCAGCCACTTCCTACAGGTGCCTTTGGGCCAGCAACAGGTTTGCACCTCCCTGGGACAAAGTTCCCAGAGGGAGGGACATGCTGCCATCTTTGTCTTTTTGCAGCCTTCACTAGTGACACCTCCAGGTTCTGGAAAATCTGAGGTGACTAAAGACTGAAGCAGGCCCCAAGCATACTGCAGCAGCCCTACAGAAAAGTGGCCAGACTCTTACGATACACCCGTTCTCCTATCTCCTCACCGGGCAGGTTCTCCAGGCCTGGGCCTCCAGACACCCTGCCACCAGAGCTCTTGAGCCAGTACAAACTCAGCAGCTCCCTGTGCAGATCCTCCAGGGGCATTTGAAAGCTTCTCTGCCACTGCCCTTGCCACCCTCAGACTAACAAAGGAACAAAGACCCTAAGTGCCTTATCCATACCTCCAACAAGCTGCAGTTGACCCAAGGAGAGGTGGCCAGTCTGTGTCCCACGGGTCCCACACACCCACCGTGGCTCATCACCAGGCAGGGAACCCCTAGCTTGGGTCCACAGCACAAACCCTCCATCTTGGGCTGACTGCACTGAGCAATTGCTGACCTGCATCTCTCTGGCATAGAGGCCCCAGGAGTCGAGCAAACGACCCTGGGCCACAACCATTACTAAGATCTCTTCCTTAGCAGCTCTGAGATTGCCCCAGAGCTGCAGTGGGCAGCCCAAGAGTGCCAAGTCATGAACTATGGCCAGCACTTAAGGGGGAGAGGACCCCACACTTTCAGGGCACTGAGAGGGAACACAGCTGCAACTGAGAGGAAACATAGGGGAGCCACACAACCGGACAAGAGTCTACCAACTGACCAATAAGCCTAAGTGTCACCTGCTGGATCACACCCCAAAGCTTCAACACGAAAAATACTTCACTAACATATCCCCCTCTGAAACCAGAGACAAGACATCAGCTTCAAATAAAGACTCTACACAAAGCCTTGGCCCAGTGAAAACATCCAGAAAAGAAGTCTATTGTCTGTACTGAATCTATGTTGCAGTTTCATGTGGTTTCTTACTGTTTCCTTTTCTTTGAAATGCCAAAGAGTTGCACAAATTGAGAATGTCAGGGTTGGAAGTCCCCATAAATGCTGTCAACTCCAACAATGCATCTGGCTCTTAAGTCTTCTGTACAGTTTCTCTAAGTGGTTGCCCACATTGTGGTTAAACACAGCCAATGCAATGAAAGCAACCACCTGATAGGCAGCCCATGCCACCTCTCAGCTGCTGGAAAGCTGTCTTCCCCCTTTAGCAGCCATCAAATCACCACCCCTCCACAGCTGACACCAGGCCCTGCCCATCTACCTTACAGGACATCTCTTGTAGGGTGTATTGATCTTCCTCGGCATCTGCATGTTGCTACCAACATGCAGAGATGAGAAAGAACCAATGCAAGAACTCTAGTAACTCAAATGGCCAGAAGGCCATATGTCCTCCAAACGACCGCACCTCTTGTTCTCTAACAAGAGTTCTTAACCAGGCCGAACTGGCTAGAATGACAGAAATAAAATTCAGAATATGGATAGGAACAAAGACTATTTAGATTCAGGAGGATGGCAAAACCCAGTCTAAGGGAAATAAGAACCATAATAGAGTGATACCGGAGCTGAAGGGTGAAATAGCTGGTTTGAAAAAGAACCTAGGCTGGGCATGGTGGCTCGCACCTATATTCCCAGCACTTTAAGAAGCCAAAGCAGGTGGATCACATGAGGTCCGGAGTTCGAGACCAGCCTGGCCAACATGGCGAAACCCCGTCTCTACTGAAAATACAAAAATTAGCTGGGCATGATGGCAGACGCCTGTAATCCCAGCTACTCGGGAGGCTGAGACAGGAGAATTGCTTGAACCCGGGAGGTGGAGATTGCAGCGAGCCAAGATAATGCCACTGCACCCCAGCCTGGGCAACAGAGTAAGACTCCGTCAAAAAAAAAAGAAGGAGAAGAACATAACGGGTCTGACAGAGCTGAATAACACAGTACAAGAATTGCACAATACAATCACAAGTATTAACAGCAGAATAAACTAAGCTGAGGAAAGAACCTCAGAACGTGAAATAAGAGAGTCAGACAAAAATAAACAAAAAAGAATAAAAAGGAATAAATAAAACTTCTGAGAAGTATGGGATTATGTAAAGAGGCCAAATCTATGCGTCACTGGCATCCCCAAAAGGGAGGGGGAGAAAATCTATTTTGGGATATCATCCATGAAAACTTCCCCAACCTTGCTAGAGAGGCCAACAGTCAAATTCAGGAAAACAGAGAACTCCTACAAGATTCTCCACAAGAAGATCATCCCCATGACACATAATTGTCAGATTTTCCAAGGTCAAAATGAAAGAAAGAATGTTAAAGGCAGCTAGAGAGAAATGGCAGGTCACCTATAAGAGGATCCCCATCAGGCTAACAGCAGACCTCTCAGCTGAAACCCTATAGGCCAGAAGAGATTGGGGGCCTATATTCAACATTTTTAAAGAAAAAAATCTTCAACCAATAATTTCATATCCAGCCAAACTAAGCTTCCTAAGTGAAAGGGAAATAAGATCCTTTTCAGATAAGCAAATATCAAGGGACTTCATTACCACAAGACCTGCCTTACATGAGGTCTTGAAGGGGGCACTAAATATAGAAAGAAAAGACCACTGGTAGCTAATACAAAACCACACTTAAACACACAGACCAGTGTCATTGTAAAGCAACCACACAAGCAAGCCAACATAATAACCAGCTAACAGCCCAATGACAAGATCAAATCCATAAATATCAATACTAACCTTGAATGTAAATGGGCTAAATGTCCCACTTAAAAGGTGCAAAATGGCAAGCCGGATAGAAAAGCAAGACCCAATGGTATGCAGTCTTCAAGAGATCCATCTCACAAGTAATGACATTCATAGGCTCCAAATAACAAGAGGCTGAAAAATCTACCAAACAAATGGAAAAAAGAAAAAAGAAGGGGTTGCAATTCTAATTTCAGACAAAACAGATTTCAAACCAACAAAGGTCAAAAAGACAAGGAAGGGCATTACATAATGGTAAAGGTTTCAATTCAACAAGAAGATTTAACTATCTTAAATATTCATAAAGCAAGTTCTTAGAGAGCTACAAAGAGACATGGACTCCCACACAATAATAGTGAGAGACTACAACACTCCACTGACAGTATTAGATAGATCATCTAAGGAGAAAATTAACAAAGATATTCAGGACCTAAACTCAGCATTGGATCAAATGGACCTGATGAACCTTTACAGAAGTCTCCACCCCAAAATAACACAATATACATTCTTCTCATCGCCACATGGCACATACTCTAAAATCAACTACATAATTGGACATAAAACAATCCTCAACAAATGTAAAAGAACCAAAATCATACTAGACACACTCTCGGACCACAGCACAATAAAAATAGAAGTCAACACAATGAAAATTGCTCAAAACTATACAATAACATGGAAATTAAGCAAAATGCTCCTGAATGACTTTTGGGTAAATAATGAAATTAAGGCAGACATCAAGAAGTTCTTTGAAAATAATGAGAACAAAGACACAACATACCAGAATCTCTGGGACACAGGTAAGGCAGTGTTAAGAGGGAAAATCATAGCACTAAATGCCCACATTGAAAAGTTAGAAAGTTCTCAAATTAACAACGTAACTTCACAACTGAAAGAATTAGAGAAGCAAAAACAAATCAACAGGAAAGCTAGCAGAAGATGAGAAATAACAAAAACCAGAGCTGAACTGAAGGAATCAAGACACACACACACACAAAATTCAAAAGATCAACAAATCCAGGAATGGTTTTTTTGAAAAAGTTAATAAAAAAGATAGGCCACTAGATAGAATAATTAATAAGAAAAGAGAGAAAAACCAAATAAACACAATTTGAATGACAAAGGAAATGTTACTACTGACCCCACAGAAATAAAAACAACCATCAGAAACTACTATGAACACCTTTACACACACAAACTAGGAAACCTGGAAGAGATGGATTAATTCCTGGACACATACACCCTCCTAAGCCTGAGCCAGGAAGAAATTGATTCCCTGAACAGACCAATAATGAGCTCTGAAATTGAATCAGTAATAAATAGCTTGCCAACAACAAAAAAAGCCCAGGACTGGATGGATTTACAGTTTAATTCTACCACATGTACAAAGAAGAGCTGGCACTATTCCTATCGAAACTATTCCAAAAAATTGAGGAGGCAGACTTCTCCCCAACTTATTCTATGAGGGCAGAATCATCTTGATACCAAAACCTGGCAGAGTCACAACAAAAAAGAAAACTCCAGGCCAATATCCTTGATGAACATCAATGCAAAAATCTTAAACAAAATACTTGCAAACTGAATCCAGCAGCACATCAAAAAGCTAATCCACCATGATCAAGTAGGCTTCATCCCCAGGATGCAAGTTTGATTCAACATATGCAAATCAATAAATGTGATTTATTACATAAACAGAACTAAAGACAAAAACCATGATTATCTCAACAGATGCAGAAAAGGCTTTTGATAAAATTCAACATCCTTTCATGTTAAAAACTTTCAATAAACTAGTTATTGAAGGAACATACCTCAAAATAATAAGAGCCATCTATGACAAATCCACAGCCAACTTTATACTGAATGGGCATAAGCTGGAAGTATTGCTCTTGAAAACCAGCACAAGATAAGGATGCTGTCTTTCACCACTTCTATTCAACATAGTATTGGAAGTCCTAGCCAGAGCAATCAGGTAAGAGAATGAAATAAAGGGCATCCTAATAGGAAGAGAGGAAGTCAGACTATCTCTGTTTGCAGATGACATGATTCTATATCTAGAAAACCCCATAGTCTCAGCCCAAAAGCTCCTTCAGCTGATAAACAACTTCAGCAAAGTCTCAGGATACATAATCAATGTACAAAAATTACTAGCATTCCTATACACCACCTACAACCAAACTGAGAACTGACCCAGAAAGGCAATCCCATTCACAATTGCCACAAAAAAATAAAATACCTAGGAATACAGTTAACCAAGGAGATGAAAGATCTCTACAATGAGAATTACAAAACACTGCTCAAAGAAATCAGAGAAGAACAGGTGGAAAAACATCCTGTGCTCATTGATAGGAAGAATCAGTATTATTAAAATGGCTATACTGTGCAAAGCAATTTACAGATTTAATGCTATTCCTATCAAACTACCAACAACATTCTTCACAGAACTAGAAAAAATTATTTTAAAATTTCTATGGAACCAAAAAAGAGTCTGAATAGCCAAGGCAATCCTAAGCAAAAAGGACAAAGCTGGAGGAATCACATTACCCAACTTGAAACTATACTACAAGGTTACCGTGACCAAAATAGCATGGTACCGGTGCAAAAACAGGCACATAGATGAATGGAACAGAATAGAGAGCCCAGAAATAAGGCTTCACATTTACGACCATCTGATCTTTGACAAAGCTGACAAAGACAAGCAATGGGGAAAAGACTCCCTATTCAATAAATGATGCTGGGATAACTGGCTAGCCATATGCAGAAGATTGAAGCTGGACCCCTTCCTTACACCATATACAAAAATTAACTCAAGATGAATTAAAGACTTAAATGTAAACCCCAAAACTATAAAAACCCTGGAAGACAACTTAGGCAATACCATCCTGGACATAGGAGTGAGCAAAGATTTCATGACAAAGACACCAAAAGCAATAGCAACAAAAGCAAAAAATTGACAAATGAGATCTAATTAAACTTAAGAGCTTCTGCACAGAAAAAGAAACTATCAACAGAGTAAACAGACAACCTACAGAATGAGAGAAAACATTTGCAAACTATGCATCTGTCAAAGGTCTAATATCCAACATGTATATGAAACGTAAGCAAATTTACAAGAGAAAAACAAACAATCCCATTAAAAAGTGGGCAAAGCACATGAACTGACACTTCTCAAAGAAGACACTTCTCAATGCGACCAACAAGCATATGAAGAAAAGCTCAATATCACTGATCATTAGAGAAATGCAAATCAAAACCACAATGAGATACCATCTCATGCCAGTTAGAATGGCTATTATTAAAAAGTCAAAAAATAACAGCTGCTGGTGAGGTTGCAGAGAAAAGGGAACACTTACACGCTTTTGGTGGGAGTGTAAATTAGCTCAACCATTGTGGAAAGCAGTATGGTGAGTCCTCAAAGAGCTAAAAGCAGAACTACCATTTGACCCAGCAATCCTGTTACTGGGTACATACCCAGAGGAATATAAAACATTCTACCATAAATACACATGCACGTGAATGTTCATTGCAGCATTGCTCACAATAGCAAAGACATGGAATCAACCTTAATGCCCATCAATGACAGATTGGATAAAGAAAATGTGATACATATACACCATGGAATACTATGCTGCCATGAAAAAGAATGAGATAGCATTTTTTTTTTTTGCGGGAACATGAATGGAACTGGAGGCTATCATCCTTAGCAAACTAATGCAAGAACAGAAAACTAAATACCATATGTTCTCACTTATAAGTGGGAGCTAAATGATAAGAACTTATGAACACAAAGAAGAAAACAAAAAACACTGGGGTCTACTTGAGTGGAAAGGGTGGGAGGAGGGAGAGGAGCAGAAAACATAACTATTAGGTACCGAGATTAATACCTGGGTCATACAATATGTACAAGTAACCCTCGTGACACGTGTTTAACTATGTAACACACCTTCACATGTATCCCCAAACCTAAAATAAAAATTCACACACACACACACACACACACACACACACACACACACACACACGGCTGAATAGTATTCCATTATGTATATATACCACATTTTCTTTATCCATTCATCTGATGACGGACACTTGGATTGATTCCATAACCTAGCTAATATGAATAGTGCTGCAATGAACATGGGAGTGCAGACATCTTTTTGACAAACTGATATAAAATCTTTTGGGCAAATACCCAGAAATGAGATTGCTGGGTTAGAAATGTATAGATATGAATGACATAAATTGGCTAAGCTCCTAAAAGGGAATCTCTCTGCCAGCCACTATATGGTTGTATCTTGTTAGATTGTTGGGCTTTGATAATGTATTAATCTAACACTAACCATAATAAATAATGAAAAAAATAGTTAATACTTAATGAGCACTTATTGTTGTCAGGTGCTATACTCAGCATTTCACATGTATGAACTCATTAAATCTTTACCTCAACCATATGAAGTAGGTGCTGTTATCATCTCCATTTTACAGGTAAGGAAACAGGCACAGACTGATATGTGGATTTTGCTGTCTCTAAGTTTATATAAATAAAGCAGCATTCTTGGGGATGGATGTTTTCTCTCAAGAGGATGCCAGTCCAGTCAAGCTCTGCCTAAATTGGGGTTGCATTTATCATCTAAGAATCTCTGGTGGCCATGTTAATCCTGATGGTGTGGATGAAAGGCTGGAGACTATTTGAACTTTTTTTAGGAAACTATTCCCCTTCTGCTTTTACCAGGACTGCCGCTGCTAAAAGGGGCTATCAGAAGTCTTAGAAACATGTTGGTTAATTTCAAAATGTTACCAGAAAGGTGAAGCTAATGTTATCTTTTGGGAGAACAGCCTGAACTCCACAATTTGTTATAACGGACTTAGCATCAATTAAGAGATCCAGGACATGAGGATTTTAAGTCATGGATACTAACTCTGGAAACTCTGATTAACCAAGCAAATATACCTCTAGTTGTGCTTAGGAATTTCTTACCTCAGTCAGATATCTCTGGCTATGAACTTGTTAACTGTTAATGTTGAGTGTTTTTTAATGTAATCAACATTGTAACCTATATAACTATTAGCCTTATAACTATTGGCTACAGGCTATCATCCTAGAAAGCTCTTGGAGTGGGGATGAGGGGCTGAGTAACAAATTAAAACATTCCTGGGATAGACTGTTCCCTCTTTATCTTACTCCTCCTTATTCTCTCCCTCTTCTTTTCTTTCAAGCAAATATTCTGTCCAAAACTCTTACCAAAATACACAATCAGCTTTGTAACTGGATAGAAAGAAACTCTATTTAGATAGCTTCCAATCTCCTTTTTAGTTGCAACATGAACAGCGAGCTAATGACAGGTGGGAGACATTTTGCAAATTGCACCAATTGTACAAAAACACAAGGTAAACTTCTTCTTCTTCTTTTTTCTTAAGACGGAGTTTCGCTCTTGTTGCCCAGGCTGGAGTGCAATGGCATGATCTCGGCTCACCGCAACCTCTGCCTCCCGGGTTCAAGTGATTCTCCTGCCTCAGCCTCCCAAGTAGCTGGCATTACAGGCATGTGCCACCACGCCTGGCTAATTTTGTATTTTTAGTAGAGACAGGGTTTCTCCATGTTGGTCAGGCTGGTCTCGAACTCCCGACCTCAGGTGATCCACCCGCCTCGGCCTCCCAAAGTGCTGGGATTATAGGTGTGGGCCACCATGCCTGGCCAACGCAAGGTAAACTTTTAACGTGGAATAGAAAAAATAATTTTGTTAAATCCCTGGGATGGAAATAACATAGCGACCAAAAGAGTACATCTTTCTCTCACATGGCAAAGTTTTCTTCTTGATGCTACAGTATAAAAGTAAAAAGCACGGTTTCAGTCTTCCACCAGATGTTTAACCCCAATCCCCACTGTTGTTTTTCACAAAGCTTCTGGGATCACCTGTTCCACTTAATTCTCACTGCTGAGGGCAGGGTGGTCTGCTATTCCACTATACCTGCTTTGCTGCCAATAGTCTCCTGGCTCAGGTTCATCTCACTTCAAATTCTCTTGCATACCTTGCCAGATCAATCTTCCTAAAATCCTGTTTCTCAAACTGTGCTTTGGGAAACATTAGCCCTGATACATGCTCCTCATTAAAAGGAGGATTTTGTGCTAATGTGAGTTTAAGAACCAGGGCACATTCAAATCCCTCCTGAAGATTCACTATGTTTATTATCATGTTAAAGGGTCTGAGAAGTCCTGCAATAAAGAACCATCTCTAACTTTAACCCTACATTCCCCAAACTTAATTGCCCACATAACTTTTTTTCATGTAACATCAATTAATATTACATACCACACCTTTTTTTCAGAAATGATGTACTAAAGCATTGCTTTAGTCATGCTATTTTCCCAGTTATAATATGTCCAGTGGTTCCCCAGCCTTACTTCAAGGACCTTTGGAACTTGATCTGAACTTAATCCAGTCCAATTTCATCTCCCTTTGCTTCACTCCATGAAACATTTTTTTTTTCCAATTAGACTGCTTTCATCATTCTGTACTCATCACATGCTGAGGGCCAGGTGAGGAGCTGAGGCCAAGAATGGTTAGGGACAGAGATCTGAGACTTTAGGTAGGGGTCATTAGTTAGTAGGTATGCTTGGAAGGACCAGCAGCAGGAACATGGGAGTCGGACAACCCAAGTAGGATGAGGTGAAGGTAGAGTTCAGGGTGAGTAGGTGTGAGAATGATGTAGCTGGAAATGACTTATAATATGAGGTATAACCATGGACACACCGTGCAAGTCCTTATAGCCAGAGAAGTAAACATCAAGACAGGGAAGATTCCTAAAGGAAGTGCCAAAAAAAGAAAGAAAGAAGGAAAAAAGAAAGAAAGAAGGGAGGAAAGAGAGAAAGAAAGAAAAGAAAAGAAAAAAGAAAAGAAGTGGTAGGTGAGATCAGGTCAACTATTTCTCATGTGCAGAAGCAGCTATAGTGCCTGCCAGGATGAGATCAGAAACTGAAACATCCCTAAAGACGGGATGTGTGTGTGTGTGTGTGTGTGTGTGTTGCCTTTGTTCAAGGCAGTGATTGTTGATATTCTTTGAGAATCTGATGGAAGTTATGAGCCTTCTTGCTATGGTTCGAATTTGTCCTCCAAGATTTATGTGTTGAAACTTAATCCTCAATTAAGTTTCTTTAATCCTTAATCCTTAATTAAGAGGTGGGGCCTTTTGGAAAGTGACTAAGTCATGAGGACTACACCCCCTTGAATGGGTTAGTGTCTTTTAAAAGGGCTGGAGGGAACTAACTTAGGTCCCTGGATATACATCAATAATGTTAAAGCTGAGAATCAAATCAAGAATACAATCTCATTTATAATAGCCACAAAAATGTAAATACCTAGGAATACAGACAACTAAGGAGGTGAAGGATTTCTACTAAAAGAACTACAAAACATGTTGAAAGAAATCAGAGACTACACAAATAAATGGAAAAACATTCCATGCTCATGATTTGGAAAAATCAGTATTGTTAAAATGGCCATACTGCCCAAAGCAATTTGCAGAGTCGATGCTATTCCTATCAAACTACCAACATCATTTTTCACAGAATTAGTAAAAAAATTATTGTAAAATTCATATGGAACTAAAAAAGAGCCTGAAGAGCCAAACCAATCCTAAGCAAAAAGAACAAAGCTGGAGGCATTGCACTACTTAACTTCAAACTATACTAAAAGACTAGAGTAACCCAAACAGCATGGTACTGATACAAGAACGGACGTATAGACCAATGGAACAGAATAGAGAACTTAGAAATAAAGCTGCACACCTACACGCATCTGATCTTTGACAAAGTCAACAAAAATAAGCAATAGGAAAAGACTCTTTATTCAATAAATTGTGTGGGGATAACTGGCTAGCCATTTGCAGAAAAATGAAACTGGACCCAGAAATTTTACCGTATACAAAAATTAACTCAAGATGGATTAAAGATTTCAATGTAAGACCTTAAATTATATGAATCCTAGAAAACCTAGGAAATACCATTCTGGACATTGGCCTTGGGAAATAATTCATGACTAAGTCCTCAAAAGTAATTGCAACAAAAACAAAAATTGACAAGTGGGAACTAAATAAACTAAAGAAACTATAATTAAACTAAAGAAACAGGCCGGGCACGGTTGCTCACGCCTGTAATCCCAGCACTTTGGGAGGCTGAGGCGGGTGGATCACTCAAGGTCAGGAGTTCGAGACCAGCCTGCCTAACATGGTGAAACCCCATCTCTACTAAAAATACAAAAATTAGCTGGGTGTGATGGCGGACGCCTGTAACTCCAGCTATTCGGGAGGCTGAGGCAGGAAGATCTCTTGAACCCAGGAGGCGGAGATGGCAGTGAGCCAAGATCGTGACACTGCACTCCAGCCTGGGTAACAGAGCGAGATTACATCTCAAAAAAAAAAAAAAAAAAAAAAAGAAAAGAAAAAAAAGAAAGAAAGACATACAAGTGGCCAAAAAACATGAACAAATGAGCCACATCACTAATCATCAGAGAAATGCAAATCGAAACCACAATGAGATATCATCTCACACCAGTCAGAATGGCTATTATTAAAAAAGTCAGAAAGCAACAAATGTTGACAAGGCTGCAGAGAAAAGGGAACACTTACATACTGTTGGTGTGAATGTAAATTAGTTTGGCCACTGTGGAAAGCAGTTTGGTGATTTCTCAAATAACTTAGAACTACTATTTGACCCAGCAATCCCATTACTGGGTATATATCCAAAAGAAAATTAATCATTCTGTTATACCAAAAAGACACATGCACTTGTATGTTCATCACAGCACAATACACAATAGCAAAAACATAGAATCAACCTAGATGTCCATCAATGGTGGATTGTATGAAGAAAATGTGGTACATATACACCATGATATACTATACAGCCATAAAAATGAACAAAATCATGCCCTTTGCAGCAACATGAATGCAGCTAGAGGCCATGATCCTAAGTGAATTAAAGCAGGACCAGAAAACCAAATACCACTTGTTCTCAGTTATAAGTGGGAGTTAAACATTTGGTACACATAGTCATAAAGATGGGAACAATAGACATTGGGGACTAGTAAGAGCAAGGAGGGACAGAGGTGGGCAAGGGTTGAAAAACTACCTATTGGGTACCATGCTCACTACCTGAGTGATGGGATCAGTTGTACCCCAAACCTCAGCATCATGCAACATGCCAGTGTAACAAACCTGCAAATGTACCCCTGAATGTAAAATAGAAGTTGAAAGTATAAAAAAATAAAAAATTTTATCTATCTATTTATCTATCTATCTATCTAAGGAAACTTTAAATTTCACTCATGGAAAAGCCCATGTTCTATCACAAAAGTATATGGTCAAATTCCTCAGACCCTGGGTTTTTTTTTTGGTAGGTATACTTTATATTTTCATTATGATACAAAGGTAGACAGAACAGTATAAAGAAACCCCATGTTCCCATCACTCAGATTCAACAACTATTAACTAATAATCAATCTTGTTACTTCTATATCCCCACTACTTTCCCAACTCTACCCCACCCTATCCCACAGTTGCCATCCATACACTGTTATTGGTTGATACGTCTCATATTTACTTTAATTTACAGGTTCCCCTCCTATCTCTTTATTTTTGGTAATTTATTTGTTGAAGAAACTGGATGGTTTATTTAGTAGAGTTTTTGACATCCTGGATTTTGCTGAAAGCTTTCCCATAGTGTTTAACATTTTTCTCTGTCCTCTTTATTTCCTATAAAGTAGTGGTTGGCTGTTGATGCTTATTCAGGTTCAGGTTCTTTTTTAATAGCCTCAATTATTGAACACTTGGATCAACTCATAACCAATAATTGAAAAAAGGCCCTCTAATGCATTTAATCAATTCTACTATTGTAATTACTACCCAACAACTCATTAATATACAGAAACATGGAAAAACTATCATCCACCCATTCTTCATGCAGCAGTTTGCCACTCTTGAACAACAGGGCTCATGTCACTGAATCTGAGTAGTTACTTTTCACACCATCTTGAGTGAGGGGATGACTTAAGCTCACATGCAATATATAAATATTTCCTTGCAATAAAGTAACAAGTTAAGGCAAAACATTTTGCATAATTTACTACTAAACACCATAAAAACTGCCTTAACTTAAGCTCTTTTTCGCCATATCAAGCAGGCTAACAGGGCATCCTAAGGCACGTTAGAGACTCTCTCATCACAGATGACGCAAAGGTTAAAATCTTCAAATAACAGCACCAGGTATGCTTCCCCAGTCTTCTGAAGCACTCTGTGGCTGCACTCTGGAAACTGAAATCTATTTTGAAGTCCTGGATGATTTCCCTTATCAACTTCTGGATCAGAAGCCTTATTGCTTTCCAGCCTGTAAGACAAGGCTTTCTAAACCCTTGGCAGCCTTAGTGGCCAGCTAATTTTGTGGGGCTTTCAAGTGGCGGATTTGTGAGCAATACAGTGTCACTCATTTTCTTTAACCCAATAATAAAGTCTTCTAGAAATATTTAATAGACAAAGATTTAATATAATCATGGTGTACAGTGTGATGATCTAATACACATATACATTGTGAAATGTTTCATAATCAAATTAATTAACACCTCTCTGACCACCCATGGTGTATATTAGAGCCCCAGAACTGGTTCATCTTATAATTGTAAGTTTGTACTCTTTGACCAACTTCTCCCCATTCTTCCAGCACAGGTTGCCCGTGGCAACTGCTGCTCTACTCTCTGCTTCTGCGATTTTAACTTTTTAAGATTTTACATATAAGTGAGATCATCCAGCATTTGTCTTTCTGTATCTGGCTTATTTCACTTAGCATAATGTCCTCCAGGTTCATTCATGTTGTCACAAGTGGCAGAATTTCCTTCTTTTATATGGCTGAATAATATTTCTCTCTCTCTCTCTCTCCCTCTCTCTCTCTCTCTCTCTCTGTGTGTGTTTGTGCGTATGTGACGTTTTCTTCATCCATTAATCCATTGATGAACCCTTAGGTTGATTTCATGTCTTGGCTAGTGTGAATAGTGCTGCAATAAATATGGGAACACAGATGTCTCTTTGACATAGTGATGTCATTTTATTTGGATATATACCTAGAAGTGGTATTGCTGGATTGTATGGTAATTCATTTTACATTTTTTGAGTGATGTGATGGTTAATATTGAGCGTCAACTTGACTAGATCGAAGGATGCAAAGTATTGTTCCTGGGTGTGTCTGAGAGGGTGTTGCCAAAGGAGATTAACATTTGAGTCAGTGGACTGGGAAAGGCAGACCCACCCTCCATCCAGGTGGGCACAATCTAATCAGCTACCAGCTGGCCAGAATAAAAGCAGACAGAAGAACGTGGAGAGACTAGATTGGCTTAGTCTCTCGGCCAAATCTTTTTCTCCGACTGGATGCTTCCTGCCTTCGAACATTAGACCGTAAGTACTCTTGGATCTTCGACCACAGACTGAAGGCTGTTGCACTGTCGGCTTCCCTACTTTTGAGGTTTGGGACTCAGACTGGCTTCCTTGCTCCTCAGCTTGCAGATAGCCTATTGTGAGACCTCACCTTGTGATCATGTGAGTCAATACTCCTTAATAAGCTCCCCTTTATATATACATATATCCTATTAGTTCTGTCCTAATACAAGAGACCACTATACTGTTTTCCACAGTGGTTTAATAAATTTACATTTGCACCAACAGTGCATAAGGGGTCCTTTTACTCTATACCCTCTCCAACACATGTTACTTCTGTCTTTGATAATAGCCATCTGAACAGGTATGAAATGATACCTCATGGTGATTTTTATTTGCATTTTCCTGATGATTAGTGATGTTGAGCATCTTTTTATATACCTGCTGGCCATTTGAATATCTTCTTTGGAAAAATGTTTATTCAGATCATTTGCCCATTTTATAATCAGGTTATTATTATTATTTTTTGCTATTGAGTTGTGTGATTTCCTTATATATTTTAGATATTAACTCCTTATCAGATATATGGTTTGTAATATTTTCCCATGCTGAAAGTTGTAGTTTCATTTTGTTGATTGTTTCTTTTGCTGTGTAGTCCCATTTGTTTATTTTTGCTTTTATTGCCTGTGTTTTGGTGTCGTGTCAAAAAAAAAAAATCACTGCCAAGACAAATGTTGAGCTTTTCCCCTATGCTTTCTTTGAGGAGTTTTGTGATTTCAGACCTTGTTTCAGATCTATTTAAGTCTTTAATCCATTTTGAGTTATTTTTGCACATGGTGTAAGAAAAGGGTCCAATTTCACTCTAGCATTAAAAAGAGTAAAATACTTAGGAATAAATTTAGCCAAGGAGGTGAAAGATCTGTACACTGAAAACTATAAGACATTAATGAAAGAAATTGTATTATAAAAATGAAAGGAAAATGTATTTAAAAAATGGAAAATTATATTACTAAAATAAATGGAAAATATGTCATGTTCATAAATTGGAATAATTAATATTGTCAAAATGTCTATACTACCCAAAATGATCTACAGGTTCAATGCCATCAATCCCTATCACATTTCCAATGGCATATTTCACAGAGATAGAAAACACAATCCTAAAGTTCATATGGAACCACAAAAGACCCTGAATGGCCGAAGCAATCTTGAGAAAAAAGAACAAAGTTAGAGGCATCACACGCCTTGATTTCAAACTATATTACAAAGTTATAGTAATCAAAACAGTATGGTACCAGCATAAAAACAGACACATAGACCAATGGAAAGAAATAGAGACCTCAGAAATAAAAAATAAAACCATGCATATATGGTTAGCTAGTTTTTGACAAGGGCACCAAGAATACACAATGAGGATAGGAAAGTCTCTTCAATAGATGGTATTGGGAAAACTGGATATCCACATGCTAAAGAATAAAATTGGACATTTATCTTATACCATATTCAAAAATTGACTCAAAATGGATTAAAGACTTAAATGTAAGTTCTCAAACCAAAGGCTTAAAGTGCTTCTGTATCTCTCTCTGCTGCTGCTTAGCAACCTAACTTAGCAACCAAACTAAGAAACAAAGCTGCTCTTTCAACAAATACCTAACTTTCCCACTCTTAGAATCAATATATTTGTTTTGTTTTGTTTTTGAGATGGAGTCTCACTCTGTTGCTTAGGCTGGAGTGCAGTGGCGCAATCTTGGCTCACTGCAACGTCTGCCTCCTGGGTTCAAGTGATTCTCCTGCCTCGGCCTCCTGAGTAACTGGGATTACAGGCATGCACCACCTCACCCAGCTAATTTTTTTGTATTTTTAGTAGAGACGGGGTTTCGCCATGTTTGCCAGGCTGGTGTTGAACTCCTGACCTCAAGTGATCCACCCAGCTCAGCCTCCCAAAGTGCTGGGATTACAGGCATGAGCCACTGAGCCTGGCCAAAATCAATGTATTTTTAAAGAATATATATATATATATGTATACAGAAAGTAGGTCAATGAAACAACCAGGCTGGTAACATATATACCAATCTCACAATTGGCTCAGTTGTATTTGAAAGGCTGTACTTTCATGTATGTGTGGACAAAGTTGTAAGTATTCTACTCACTGGTATTTATTTATTTTAAATATGTATGCCATCCCTTCAGGATTATCCAGCAGGTTGGAGATGAGGGTATGTGGATACTTGTCCCTTTACTATTACCACTCAGGCTGTAAACAGTAGGATAAAAATGGGGCAAATCTGGAGCTTGCTGTTTTATTTTTCTGGCCATGAGAAAGTGTATTTATTTTGAGGAGACTCAGACCATTGGTGCAATTTTAGGTCCTTGAGGAAACAATGCCTGAACTTCCATTTCTGAGAATTTACTCAGTAAAGAAGACACGTAACTATTGGAAATAATTAAATCTAGTCCGGGTGGGCTGTGCTGCTGCTATTGCTTCAGGCCAGAGGTGGTTTGGACAGAAATAGGCCAAGATGAAACATACCGCTCTTCGGAACTCCAGGTTTGGACCTGGAACCAGACATTTAACAGGTGCGAACACAGAAAATAAAGGATAGCAGTTCTGCTTGTTCCTGTATGTAGGTGCCTTAGATTTTCAGAAGCAAGATCCAGGTCATGCCAAGTCCCTGCAGACAGTGATGAGATGCTCCCACAGAAGTACTGTGTGCAGACAATGCTTCTGGGGCTGTTGCTGGAGAGGTGGATATTTGTGTCTATAAGATCAGTCTGCCAACTACTTAGTAGACTGATGCCATCAGTCAGAAAGTGGTAGCTTCCTCTCTCAGCTCTTATGATACCTAGGATTAGGAATGACAGAGCTGCTGTGAACTCTTCCAGGATGATGTGGTTTGAATCTGTATCGCCACCAAATCTCATGTCGCATAGTACTCTCCAGTGTTGGTGGTGTGGCCTGGTGGGAGGTGATTGGATCATGGGAGCCGAGTTCTCACGAATGGGTTAGCACCACCCCTTTGGTGCTGTTCTTGTGATAATGAATGAGTGAGTTGTCGTGAGATTTGGTTGTTTAAAAGTGTGTAGCACCTCCCCCCTTCTCTCTTCTTCCTGTTCTGGCCATATAATATGTGTCTGCTTCTTCTTCACTTTCCACCATGATTGTAAGTCTCCTGTGGCCTCCCCAGAAGCAGAAGCTATTATGCTTCCTGTATAGCCTGCAGAACTGTGAGCCAATTAAATCTCTTTTCTTTATAAATTACCAAATCTCAGATATTTCTTTATAGCCGTGCAAGAATAGACTAATGCATAGGAGGTGTCTCTAGGACAAGCAGTTCATGAACTGATGTCTAGGTCTGGCCAGTGAAAGTGAGGCAGGCTGAGTATGAGAGCCATTTTGGAAGGAAAAAAAATGACTAGAAGCATATTGAGGTTGAGGTCAGGCTGGAATGGAGAGATACCCTATTAGTGGGATGGAAGGCCAAATATAACACTGGAATACTAATCTGAAAACCTAGTTTGGACTCTACTTCTGGCCTTAGAGTGGTGGGTTTCTAGTCTTAGGTTTTTATAACTTTCCAGACTAGAGGCTGTAAGTTTTTCCAAAATAGAGAGGGGTTGAAGCTGAAGGTACAGGGACCAGGCTACCAGGATTTAGAAATCTGCAAAGGAAAAAGCTAAGTAGGATTGAACCTAATCATTTTGAGTGTACTTCTAAGAATTGTTTAAGTGGCCCAATTGACATCTTAAAATCTAGGTTCCCTTCTGCCTTCCCCATTTTCTGGACAGCTAGTTATTTGCAATTAGCAATGAGTTAATTGCTTGGAAATATTTGCTTAACTGGGCCAAGATTTATTTTTATTTTTATTAAAAAAAATTTTTTATTCCCATAGGTTATTGAGGAACAGGTGGTGTTTGGTTACATGAGTAAGTTCTTTAGTGGGGATTTGTGAGATTTTGGTGCACCCAACACCCTGGGCCAAGACTTAAACTTGCTTCCAGGAAAGCATCTTGGAGAGTCAGAAGCCTTTAATGGGTAATTGGCTGCAAAATGGAAATTAGATGGAGAAGGAATCCATCTCTATTAATCTCCACTTAGGCAGTGATTAGACTTGTGAATAGAGCTAAGAATTTAATTGCTCAATGTCATCAGGGAGTCAATTATTTTAATCTCTCTTCAATAGTTATCTATTAATTAACTAGGAATAAAGAGGACAATAATTGGAGATGAATTTGTTCAGCTATCTTGTGCCCTGTAGAGTCAATATTCTTGGCTGTTAATGACCTCTTGGACAAAAGAAAGTAGGCACAAAGAGACATTCTAAAAAGAGGCAACTAGCTGGAGGTGATGCTTGGTTGAGAGCAATATGATAGACTAGGTAGACATGGGGTATCCTTCATTCTCTCCCAACTTTTTCCAGCCATCTTTTTCCCAGGGCCCTACGTAACAGTCCCAGTCCTGAGACTACCCTGCTTGTAGGCATCAACCCAAGGTTTCATGTGTAATGATCGAGAGTAGGAGTTTGATCTCAAATCTCAGCTAGAACCTCAGAATGGCCACTTACCACCTGTGTGATCTTGCATAAATTAGATAATCTAAGTCTCAGTTTCCTCAGGTATAAAATGGCGGTAATAACAATAATTAACACATGATTATTCCAAGAATTATATGAAATCTATGCATGTAAAGCACTTAGCATAATGGCTGACAAATAAAAGGTACTAGAGAATGAATATTTTCTTCCTTCCATGCTTTCTGAGACCAGGAACCTTCTGTGGTAGAAAAATCTCAACTGCTCTAATGTTTTACATGTATTTATTCCTGTAAGGCTGCTACAAAGGAACTCTTATTGAACCACTGGGCCCTCTCGGGGTTGTGGCCTGGAGTAGCCCATCTGTCTCTGACAAGCCCATCCCTATCCTTTCCAATATAGCATCATTTTTTTTTTTTGAGTGTGGACTCTGGAGTTAGATAGATCTGGGCTGGAATCCAAGCTCACCTACTTGGTGGCTGTATAACGTTCGGCAAATCATTTAACCCATCTATGTCTCAATTACCCCATCTGTAAAATAAAGATAATAATATGAAGTTACCTTTTGGGATTATTGAGAGAATCCAATGAGTTGATACATGTAAAGAATTCAGAATAACGTCTGGCACATGGTAAGTGCCCCAAAAGTGGTAGCTATATTATAATCTATATTATTATCTCTATGCCGGCTCCCATTCTCTCAGGGACCTGATGGGTATCAAGTGGCTCATCTGACAAAATCATATAAACAGACACTTAATGAATGGTTTAGGTGTCTCCTCCCTACCTGCCCCATAAAACCAAACGTACCATTAGTACCAGAGTATGGGTACTAAGATCATTTAAAAACGTGATCCCCAAATTTTTGACACTCCTCTCATTGACAGTTGATGCCTAGTCCCTTCCCCTTGAATTTGGATTCTGAGAATGTCTGACCAATAGAATATGGTAGAAGTGACACTGTGTCAGTTTCTGGGCCTATATCTGAAGAAACTGGCATCTTCCTATTCTGGGAGTGTTTGTTCTTGGAATCCAGCCACATGCTGTGAGAAAGCCCATGCAGAGGTTCCTGTGGAGAGGAATCAAGGCTCCTGGCTTTCCACCCTGGCTGGACTCCCACCTGACAGCCAATACCACTTTGCCAGCCAATGCTAGTGAGCCATCTTGGATACAGGTCCTCTAGCTCCCAGTTGAGCTGCCCCAGCTGATACCACATGATACTACTGTGACAAACATTGTCCATGTTGTAGATCAGTGACCAACATAAATGTTGTTGTTTTAAGTTACCGGAATAGAAAATCAGAATACAGGCTATGGGCATCTGGCCAGTAGAATGGGGGAGATCTTTTGGGGACACGCTGTTCCATGCTCTGCCAACTACACCATGTAAGTGGTAACTGGTTCTATCCATTTGTAGGATTGATCTTTGGCTGAATTATGAGACGAAATTATCATGAGATGTGATTATTAAGTGTATTGTTTCAGTTTTTAGAAAAAAATACACAAAGTTTTTTGACCCAACATTTGGACATTATTAACTAAATATTGATTCCTTCAATGCCAAATCTAATTCCTCCCCCATAACCTACATCTCAGAAATAATATAACAGTCTATCCAATTACTCAAGTAAAAAAATGTAGGGGTCACCCAGGAATCCTCCCTTTCTCTGAGTCCTCACATTCAGTTCACTAGAAAGTGCTGTTGGCTCTATCTTCAAAATGTACGCTAAATCTGTCCTTTTTTCTCCATCCCCACTGCCACCAACCTAGTCCAAACTACCGTTTTGTCTTATTTGGACTAACCTTCTGTATTGGGCACAAACTTGTGTACCTTCTTAGATTCTTTTCCAAGATGCTATCTGCTTTGCAAACTGTGCTGCTACCATTTCAGGTTTTTTTTGGCATCCCTTGTGAGCTCCCAGAGCTACGTGGTATTCTAAGTTGAAGCCTTGCACGTGAACGGCCTTCACATTCTACACCCTGAGCCTATCAGTGCCAAGTTATCACTCCACTTCCATACTTGGGTAAAATGCCATACCATGGGTATGGGATTTGGCTTTGTGAGAAGCTGTCAAGGGACCAAATGATGCAACCTAGAAGTGAAGGAGATTCGGGTCTCTGGGGTATGAACCTTAACTCATGGAAATCAAGAGGCATGAGGGAGCCAGGCAGACAGTTCACTTCACCCTTATAAAACTACTCTAAAATATGTGTGTTTGTGCATGTATATGTGTGTGTGTGTGTGTGTGTGTGTGTGTGTGTGTGTGTGTTTTCCTTGTTTTCCTTTCAACCATTCTGGAAAAAGTCCCATGTGCTGAGCAAACATACCTGGCAAGTGACTTGTGATTTTTTGAAGTAATGGCCAGTGAGGTAATACATTGCATCACATTGGTTTGCATCTTTTTTGCCTGACTTACCCTTTTTCATCACCCCTGTTGCTTTGGGTTTGCACACACTCAAATGGTTAATACTTGAATTATTGTTCAGACTCTGTTTTCTAGAGGACCCTGGCAAAGACATTTGATATTAGAAGTGGTTCTGTAAAACAGACAGGATAGGATTTTGGAATTGGATTTTTCACTTGTCTAAAAGCAATAGGGACCCTATTGCTGGTGATAAGTGGTATGGCCATAACCCTGGCATGAAGTGACTTTGCAAATACTTGAGCTTTTCCCGTGGTATGTGCTATTTTATTAGAATGACGTGTAGGTGGAGGGAAAGATATGGGGAGGTCAAGTGGCTTTGATGCCTAACTGATATATAAACAATGTTATTAATAAGGATTTTGGAGTAGAATGGCTGATTTGAAGGCAGTAGCAGCTCTGCCTCTATAGCAGCTTTAAAGGAGAGTCTTACCTCCCACAGCTGTAGGGACAGAATGTATTAAAAACTAGACTCAAGATCTGATAATAAGGGTGACAGAACTGTGAAGACGACTAAATGTCCAACCTTGTCAGGTTCATTAAGCCAAAATCAGATAGGAAAAGAATGGAACATGGAGATCTGGGATATATATGAACCCAAGTGTTATGACCTCTCATATTTCTCTGAACGTGCTTTTTTTTTTTTTTCTAGTTGAAGCAGCTCTTTTCCCTTGCCAGAGAAGAATAACTTCTCTTTTCATGGAGACCAGGTAATGATTTCATGTGAAGAAGGTTCCTTGTGAGATGGTATTTTTTTTCTCAAGATCCACCCTACCATCCTCATTGCCTCCTGGTAAGTAACCAGAATCAGATTTCATCACAGCTTGGAGAGAGAAGCAATTATTCTGTGCTTATTAATGAGGAGAGTCAAAAGCAGTTCATAATCTCAAAACATCTGAATTATTTGCATGAAAGAAGCCAGGCATACACACAAAATGCATACGGAACGATTCCATTTATATGACTTTCAAGAACAGGCAATACAAGTCTATGGAGAAAGAAATCAGAAAGTGGTTGCCTCTGGGTGGGCATAAGGGGATTAACTAGAAAGGGCATGAAGGAACTTTCTGGAGTGATGGAAACGTTACATATCTTGTTCTGAGTGGTTACATGGGTACATAAACTGTCAAAACTAAAGTTTACTGAGTTAAAGTTTGCTGAGTTGCAATGTTATCACAAACTTAGCACCTAAAAAACCCATACATGTACTATCTCCTAGTTTCCTCCAGGAATCTGGTGTTGGCTTAGCTGAGTCCTCTGTTCAGGGCCAGAAAGCTGCAATCAAGGTGTTGGCCAGGTTGCATTCCTTTTTGGAGCTTGGGATCCTCTTTCAAGCTTACATGGTTGTTGGTAGAATTAAATTCCTTGCAGCTATAGGACTGAGATCCCTGTTTTCTTTCTGGTTGTTGCCCAGAGACCTCTCAGTCCTAGAGACTGCCCACAGTTCCTTGCCACATGTCCCTCTCACAGGTCATTTTACAACATTGCAGTTTAGTTCTTTCTTCTGTTTTTTTTTTTTTAGAGACAGTATAGGGTCTTTCTGTGTCTCACTCTGTTGCCCAGGCTGGAGCATAGCGGCAACATCATAGCTCACTGTAACTTCAAACTCCTGGGCTTAAGTGATCCTCCTGCCTCAGCCTCCCCAGTAACTAGGACTGCAGATACACCCCACCAGACCTGGATAATATAGTTTAGTTCTTAAAGGCCAGCAGGAGAAACTCTCACTTCAGCCTGGCAAGATTGAGTCTTATATATAATGTAACATAATCATGGGAGGGATTATCCCATTGCTGTTGCCATACACTATTGCCTAGAAGCAAGTGGCAAGTTCCACCTATACTCAAGGGGAGGGAATTATACAAGTGTGACTCATGAGGGGGCCTTAGAGTGTCTCCACTACAGGCATCAAATGACTGTGCAGTATGAGTTTCTCATAATAAATTGGGTGTAGTCTCATCTACCAAGCTATAAGGATGGGCATGAGCAGCAACAATCTATCGTGGCCTAGGCTTAAGCGCATTTAGTAGGCATGAATAAAATGTAGGAGCAGATGGCCCAGACAGAAGTCACCTGTTTCCACTGCACCACCACTCCTCTTTCAGCCCACATCTATGTTGCATCATGTTGAGGGGTCTGCTGCTGTCATCTGATAGAGAAGGAAAGGATTCAGGCCTAATTCACAGATGGGTCAGTGCAATATGTTGGCACTATGTGGAAGGGGATTGCTATCTCATTATATCCCCACTCTACAGTAGCTCTGAAGAACAATGGTGAAGGAAGTACTCCCAGTGGGTAGGCTTCCTATCACTAAAGCTGACCTAGCACCTGCCACAGCAAAGATCCATAGCTAAAATCTCAACCTGCCAGCAGCTCTCCATCCAGCATCATTCTTTAGGGAGACCAACTGGCTACCTGATGTCAGGTCAATTACTTAGGTCCTTTCTATCCTGAAGGGGACAGCAATTCTTCTTCAGCAGAATGGTTATCTATTCTAGATATGGATTGGCCTTTTCTGCCCACGTGGCCTATGCTGGCACCACTGTCTGAGGGCTTACAGAATGCTTGGTATAATAATAGGACAAGCTGTTGGAGTCTCAGCCAAGGTGCCAGAAGGAGGATAAAACTTTGTAGGGCTGGCAGATATATATTAAATGCAGGGATGTGGTACATGCCTTGGTCCCCTGGTCAGTATACAGTACCGAATCCTTTATAGTTAGAATACACAGATCCAGGAATCTGAGTCAGGAAGAAAATTCCTGTAATTACTGTAGGAAGTGGGAGTATCCCTGACACCTTGGTGGGGTAACAGCAGTGATAGCAGCAGAGACATTGGGTATGTTGATGGCAGCCATAGCTGTTGCCAGAGGCAACCAAGCATTCAAACAAAGAATGACATTGTCAGAAGCATCTGGAACAGCTTAACAGCAGTTAAAGAGAGTGGAAGAATCAGGTAAATGGAATGAACTTTGGGGTTCTGGGTGCAGTGAAAGGAGCTAGAGCTCCAGAATCATAGAGATCTAACTCTAAATCCTGGTTTTACAAATTACCTGCATGACTTTGGGCAAATGACTTTACCTTCTTATTCTCATTTCCTATACCTATAAAACAGAGATAATAATAGTGCCTATCCACAGGGTTATTGTGAGAATTCATAAATATTTGTAGTGATCTTTGTAAGATGCTTAGAACAGTGCCTGGCAAAGACGGGAGTTCAACAAAATTATGTATGCAATTAACATACATCTCATTTTAAGATAGACATGGTATGACTTTAAAACAATGAGATGAAATTGTTCCAAAAACTACTTGAAGGAGCTTCTTTTTTATTTTTTATTTTTGTTTCATTAGTTTTTAGAGAACAGGTGGTTTTTTGTTACATGGATAAGTTATTTAGTGGTAATCTCTGAGATTTTGGTGCACCCATTACTCCAGCAATGTACACTGCACCCAACGTCTAGTCTTTAATTCCTCACCCACCTCCCACCCTTCCTCCCAAGTCCCCAAAGTCCATTATATTACTCTTAAGCTTTTGCATCCTCATAGCTTAGCTCCTGCTTATAAGTGAAACATGCGATGTTTGGTTTTCCATTCCTGAGTTACTTCACTTAGAATAATGGTCTCCAACTCCATTCAGGTTGCTGTGAATGCCATTATTTCATTTCTTTTTATGGTTGAGTAGTATTCCATGGTGTATATATACCACATTTTCTTAATCCACTAGTTGGTCGATGGGTATTTAGGTTGGTTCCTTATTTTTGCAATTGCGAATTGTGCTGCTATTATAAACATGCGTGTGCAAGTATCTTTTTCATATAATGACTTATTTTCCTCTGGGTAGATTCCCAGTAGTGGGATTGCTGAATCAGATGGTAGTTCTACATTTACTTCTTTAAGGAGTCTTCATACTGTTTTCCATAGTGGTTGTACTAGTTTACATTCCCACCAGCAGTGTAAAAGTGTTCCCTTTTCACCATATCAATGCCAATATCTGTTATTTTTTAGTTTAAATTATGGCTATTCTTGCAGGAGTAAGGTGGTATCTCATTGTCATTTTAATTTGCATTTCTTTGATCATTAGTGATGTTGAGCATTTTTTCATGTTTGTGGGCTATTTGTACATCTTCTATTGAGAATTGTCTATTCATGCTGTGTGCTCACTTTTTGAAGGGGTTATTTTTTTTTTCTTGCTAGTTTATTTGAGTTCCTTGTAGATTCTGAGCATTAGTCCTTCCCTGGATGCATAGTTTTGTGAATATTTTCTCCCATTCTGTGCGTTGTCTGTTTACTCTGCTGATTATTTCTTTTTCTGTGCAGAAGCTTTTTAGTTTGATTAGGTTCCATGTACTTATTTTTGTTTCCGTTGCATTTGCTTTTGGGTTCTTGGTCATAAACTCTTTGCCTAAGCCAACATCTAGAAGAGTTTTACTGACGTTACCTTCTAGAATTTTTATGGTTTCAGGTCTTAGATCTAAGTCTTTGATTCATCTTGAGTTGATTGTTGTATAAGGTGAGAGATGAGGATCCAGTTTCATTCTTCTACATGTGTCTTGCCAGTTTTCCCAGCACCATTTATTGAATAGGGTGTCCTTTCCCCAATTTATGTCTTTGTATGCTTTGCCGCAGATCAGTTGGCTGTAAGTATTTGACTTTATTTCTGTATTCTCTATTCTGTTCCATTGGTCTACATGTCTGTTTTTATACCTGTACCATGCTGGTTTGGTAATTACTGCCTTGTAGTATAGCTTGAAGTTACGTAATGTGATGGCTCCAGATTTGTTCTTTTTGCTTAGTGTTGCTTTGGCTATGCAGGCTCTTTTTTGGTTTCATATGAATTTTAGGGTTGTTTTTACTAGCTCTGTGAAGAATGATGATGGTACTTTGATGGGAATTGCATTGAATTTGTAGATTACTCTTGGCAATATGGTGATTTTTCACAATATTGATTCTTCCCATCCATGAGCATGGGATGTGTTTCCATTTGTTTGTGTTAATCAATGATTTGTTTCAGCAGTGTTTTGTAGTTTTCCTTGTAGAGATCTTTCACCTCTTTGGCTAGGTATATTCCTAAGTTGTTGTTGTTGTTGTTGTTGTTTTTTGCAGCTGCTGTAAAAGGGGTTGACTTGATTCTCAGTTTGGTCGCTCTTGGTGTATAGCATATAGCAGGGTAAATTTATTTTGTAAAGGAAACTTTACCGAATTCATTTATCAGATCTAGGAGCTTTTTGGATGAGTCTTTAGGGTTTTCTAGGTATATGATTGTATCACTGGCAAACAGTGACAGTTTGACTTCCTTTTTACTGATTTGGATGCCCTTTATTTCTTTCTCTTGTCTAATTGCTCTGGCTAGGACTTCCAGTACTATTTTGAACAGAAGTGGTGAAAGTAGGCATCCTTGTCTTGATCCAGTTCTCAGGAATGGAACAATGCTTTCAACTTTTCCCAATTCAGTATAATGTTGGCTGTGGGTTTGTCATAGGTGGCTTTTATTACATTGAGGTATGTCCCCTATATGCTGATTTTGCTGAGGGTTTTAATCGTAAAGGGATGCTGGATTTTGTCAAATGCTTTTTCTGCTTCTGTTGAAATGATCATATGATTTTTGTTTTTAACTTTATGTGATGTATCACATTTATTGACTTGCATATATTAAACAATCTCACCATCCCTGATATGAAACCCACTTGATCATGCTGTATTCTCTTTTTGATATGCTATTAGATTCAATTACAGCTAGTATTTTTTGAGGATTTTTGCATCTATGTTCACCAGGGATATTGGTCTGTAGTTTTCTTTTTTTGTTATGTCCTTTCCTGGTTTTGGTATTAGGGTGACACTGGCTTCATAGAATGATTTAGGGAGGATTTCCTCTTTCTCTATCTTTTGGAATAGTGTCAATAGGATTGGTACCAATTCTTTTAATGTCTGATGGAATTCAGCTGTGAATCCATGTGGTCCGTGACTTTTTTTTGTTGGTAGCTTTTTAGTTATTTCAATCTCGCTGCTTGTTATTGGCCTGTTCACAGTTTCTATTTCTTCCTGGCTTAATCTGGGAGGATTGTACATTTCCAGGAATTTATCCCTTTCTTCTGGTTTTCTAGTTTATGCCCATAAAGGTGTTCATAGTAGCCTTGAATGATATTCGTATTTACACCAATCTGAATAGAATTTCTTAAGGCATTTCTGGCTGACTACACCAGATTTTACTATGTAGGCACAACATGCAACATAGTATGTGTACGTATATACATATACACTCACATAGAATCTTATAACTTTCATTTTGGAATTTTAGCCATGAGATAATAATAAAAACTCATCAGTTTATAAATGGTAATTAGATCCAAATTATACTTCTTACAACGTGGGACCTGTTCATAAGGCTAAATAAACTTTATTTGCCCTAATAGGTAATCTAATGAAGGCTGTGGACCAAAATTTTGAGTAAAGCGTCCTGATTTTTTTTAATCCCGTTTGCCTTTTGTCCCCCCCCCCTTTTTTTTCAGTTTCAAATGAATATAAGGTTAAAATTTTAATGTGTACATTCTAGCTAGAACTGGCTAAACTGTATAAGGAAACCCAAATATCCAAGTAGCCTTAAATTTTTATTAACAAATCTATCTTTCGTTTGTTGGTTTGGTTTGTGTGACAAGTTAATGTGGGCAGGGAAGCGTCCTTTTTTTTCTGGCTTTTTTTTCCAGTTTTTTTTTCTGGCTTTTTTTTTGGCCCCTGCATGGCAGACAAAGCAATTTTTATGTTGGACAAAGATAGCTTATATTATAATTGCTCTGAGCTTAAGATTTTGTCCTATTTGAGTAGAGAGGCTTTTATACACATTTATCTAGTTCTATTTCTTATAGAATATTAATTCTTCAATTAACTGTTCCATCACCCTAAGCTATTGCTATTTAGGTAAACCTAAATTTATGTTAAAAGGGATGTCTCTTAGGTCTAGGTTGTTGGTTGCCATAGAGATGTTGTAATTTGTAAAGCTGTTAATTTGAAAGCCTTTTAAGACCTTTTATTTCTTGGCTGGAACGCCACAAGTCGTGAGTTTATCTCAATACCAGTAGAAAAGTCAGCAGATTCAAAATAGGCAGAAAAACAGTAGAGAGATAGAGAACTTAGAAGGCTCTCTGTATTAACTCTATAGTTGGTTTCAGGTTTTTTTTTATAAGCTCAGACAGTTTATATAATGGCCATTGAGCTCTGAACTTTTCTTGATGTAGTTTGCCCATTATTTTAAACATGTGCACTAGGCCGGGCGCGGTGGCTCATGCCTATAATCCTAGCAGTTTGGGAGGCCGAGGCAGGTGAATCACTTGAGGTCAGGAGTTTGAAACCAACCTGGCCAACATGGTGAAACCCCCATGTCTACTAAAAATACAAAAAATCAGCTGGGCATGGTGGCAGGCGCCTGTAATCCCAGCTACTTGGGAGGCTGAGGCAGGAGAATCGCTTGAACCTGGGAAGTGGAGGTTGCAGTGAGCCGAGATTGTGCCACTGCACTCCAGCCTGGGCGACAGAGTGAGACTCCATCTCAAAACAAAAACAAAAACAAACAAACAAACAAACAAACCATATGCGCTAGAATCTCTAATATACTTGGCTGGAATCCCAGAAAACCTGGCATGCCTTAATGTTTAAGAATCTCATTCCATTTCTTATTAATCTCTTGAAAGCAAAGAAAATCTTATAAATCCTATTAGAGACTGTCAGGAGTTTGGACTAATGTTTTAGATGGTGGTGATCGCCCTAGTGGCTGTTAAATACTTTTAGTTTTACTAGTTTTTTTTTTTTTTTTTTTTGGAGAGATGGGGGCCTCTTGGTTTATTGCCCAGTCTGGTCTCAAACTCATGGCTTTAAGTGATCCTCCTGTTTTGGCCTCTCGAACTGCTGGGATTACAGGCATGAGCCACCATGCCCAGCCACCCTAGTGGCCTTTGACCAGCCTCCTTGTGCCCACCATTTACAATTTTTTATTTTTGCTCTCAGAAGATTTTTAGAAACAAGCAAGGGAAAACAGAGAAATCATTTATAGAGATGCAAAACCAAACCAAAATGAAATCAAAATTAGAGTGCTCATAAGAATTTTAAATGAAGCATGGAGATCAAATAAAATATTAAATTGGGTGTGTAGAAAGAACCAAAAGTAAATTCACCAGAAAAAGACATGTCTCACAGACAGGGTGTAACTTCTATAGAAACTAGAGTACTCAAACCAGAAGGACATTGTCTTTATACCAGAAAGACAAAAAGTCTTTTATCATCCTAGGAGGAATGTAAGGTCTCTTTTTAAGGTGGCCTTATTACCAAGTCCTGAATAAAGTCAAAATCATCTACAAAAAGAGAGAGGCTTGGCCTGACAGAAGACTCATCAGGGCAGAAAAACTAGGCTGCAGAAGCAGAGAGCTCAAAGGGCTCAAGTGAGTGCTGTACACCAGTTCCAATAATCACCAATTCCTTCGGATAGAGATCTTTTTCAGGTCCCACTTCTGCACACCATTTATGTCAACCTAAATAACAAACAGAGAGAGGCCCTCCAAAAGAAAATGATATGTATTCAGGAATAGAGCATTGCAATGTTAATATGTGTCCTAGTAAACTATGTGCGTTTTTGGGGAGGTAGATGAAGACAAAGTTTTTAAAAGAAAAATGAGGATTACTTAATTGTTTGGAGATACTTATCCTTGGCTACAAGGATCAGTAACAAGGGTGGCATCACTCCAAGGCTGGACAGGCAGCTGATGGGCAGATATCCTTGCAGAAGTATTTTTGTGTGTGTGAGGTTGTGATGGCCTTTGTGCAAGGTTGTGGTTTTTGCAGTCTTTTCTGAAAGTTCTTGTTATCTGTCATTTATGCATGAGAATCCTCCCTTCATGGTCTTCCCTGGCTCTATTTGTCATTTTTTTTTTCCACAGTGACTCCATTTTGATTCTGAGAACTTTCACAGGAGTTCCCTACTCCATCATTTTCATAGATGTCACCTGGAATTTTTTCCTTCTTTTTCATGACCTTGACAGTTTTGGGGAGTACTGGTTAGGTATTTTTTAGAAAGTTCCTCCACTGATATTCGTATTATGTTTTTCTCATAATTATGCTGGGGCTGTGGGATTTGGGAGGAACTCCACAGAAGTAAAGGGCTATTTTGACCACATTATATGACTGGTATGTACGATCAACATGACTTATCACTGTTAAGAAAAGGGGAAGTAGAATGTAGTGGTTTAGGGGTTTGGGCTCTCAAGTGAAACACATCTGAATTCAAACCCTAACTCCTCCACTTGCTTGGAGCTTTTCTGAACTTTGGAGCTTTTCTGAGCTTCAGTTTTCTCATGTGTAAAACAGATGTAATAATAGCAGCTACCTCATAGGGTTACTGTGGAGAAGCACATGAGAAGATTCATGTGAAGTGATTAACTTGATGTCTGGCACATAGTAAGTACTCAATATAGGTGAACTAGTAGAATAAGAGGATGCGTGTTTATGTGGGTAGGTGGATATATACAAGAAAAATTTATCAATTAGTATTAGGAGGACCTGAAATGATTTTTATTATTTAAAGCCATAATTTTATTGAAAGATTTGATGGGAAACCCAGAGTTCCATGGGGAGATATTAGATAATATGGGAAATTTTGTACAATGGGGCATTACTCTGGAGGACAGGCATAGATGGTTACTGTAGTTTTAGTTCCTAGGTAGCTAGGGGATAGTATAAGGAATTCCTGACATTATATTATATTTGTGGTCAGGGAGGGACCCTAGAAGAAAAGAAAGGGGTGACAACTATGTAGTAGTTAAAAGCACTACTATTGAAATCATACAAACCAGGGATCAAATCCTAGCTTTCCATTCATAGGCTTTGTGCCCTTGGGTAAAGTGACTTAACTTCTCTCAGCTCTCAGTTTCCTCATCTGTAAAATGGAGACAATAAATTGAGTAGTAAATGAAATAATCCATGTAAATGACCCAAAGCATTTGGTGTCCCATAGTGCTCAGTCGATATTAGCTGCTCTTTACTACCTTACAATCGTGACTTAGTCTGGGGACACCCAATAGAAGTCATAGGTCTTCAGATCAGAGAGGATTTTGTGCGAAGAACTGGCTTTAGGAAGCTTCGCCTTTCAAGATGGAGGATGTTTTGAGCTCCTTCTCTTTCTAGTCACAGTTTCTGGCTCAGGCCTGCTGCAAGCTGCCCTAGGGGCAGGGTGCTTTTATGATATTTGTGATGGCTAAAAATCGTTTTCTTAAAAAAAATACTTTTGATGTACAATAAGAAAGAAAATGGAAACCACATGGAAAATTTAGCCCATTCCAATACGTTCTTAGTCTCCCATTCTACATATTGCTAGGGCCTCTTCTGCAGATGATGGCTGAGAATATCCTCTGTAGAGCAATAAATCACAGAATCATTAAATGCATCCTTGCAGCTGCACCAGGGCTAGTTAGAGGCCTATTCAAGAAAAGGGCTTATGTGGAGGGGATTTTTCCTCCTTCTTTTAAAAAGCCACCTGTACCATTTTTGTCTTGGTTTTTAAGTGGATGATTTAAGATATCATTTTCTTCCTCTACTTCTATTTATGATGTACAAATAGTCCTTTGTTAATAGGGAAAGAAAAACACCACAAACTCAAATGCCAAACCTAATTAAGGCTCCTTAGAGAAAGTGTGCCTCTTTAACTTTCCAACTTCCTTTCTGAGTTAGTAATTTAGGGACTGGACAAGACACAGGTGGAAGGAATTGTTTCATCAACAGCTGGTGCAAAATCCCTCATATTCCTGGAAGTGCACCAGTTCAGGGTACAGAAATATCTGAGAGAACTAGGGCTAGTCTGGAAAGAGCATGTATTGTAATCTAAATGTTTTTCCTGTTGATTGGCAAACTCTCAAAAGTTCTTTGAGGCTAGGAGAGATAGCTTTGAGGAAAATATTGGAACCAGATCATGTAATCCAGATGTTGAAAACAAGGCCTTGAGAAAGAAAAAAAAGTCATTTTATTATAAATGAAGCCTTGAGGGGAAAATTCAATTTCTTTATAAACTAGACCTTGAGCAGGAAAAATCCTTTTATTGTAATCATATCAATTCTAGTTAGATTCACATAATGAGGCTAACTGTGCAATTTGGTGAAGATGATGATCAGCCACGTAGAATGATTTAAAGAGTTCCAGAAGCACTTTCTCTCTACAATAAAGTCATCCCTACTCAGAGGTCATAGTGCCCGATATCCCTTCATCAGTGTTTCTTAACCCTTTTTTGGTCAAGGACTTGCTTTAGAATCTGGTGAAAGCTACTGACTTTTTCCTCCAGGAAAATGACTGAACATGTGGATATACACACATCAGCATACGTTTTGATGAAGTTCACAGACTCCTGTGAACAGCCCTGGGGAGTTTTTGAACAGTCAGCATTTCTCATAGTTGTTTTTTTTTTTTTTTTTTTTTTTTTTTTTTTTTTAGATGGAGTCTTTCTTTGTCCCCTAGGCTGGAGTGCAGTGGCACGATCTTGGCTCACTGCAACCTCTGCCTCCTGGGTTCAATCAATTTTCCTGTCTCAGCCTCCTGAGTAGCTGGGATTACAGGCACCATGCCTGGCTAATTTTTGTGTCTTTAGTAGAGACAGGGTCTCACCATGTTGGCCAGGCTGGTCTCGAACTCTCAACCTCAGGTGATCCACCTGCCTCAGCCTCCCAAAGTGCTGGGATTACAGGCATGAGCCACTGCACCCGGCCTCATAGTTCATTTTCAAGAGCCACATAATGGGCATCCTGGGCTGGGCATGGTGGCTCATGCCTGTAATCCCAACACTTTGGGAGGCCAAGGTTGGAGGATCGCTTGAGGCCAGGAGTTTGAGACCAGCCTGGGCAACATAGAAGACCCCATCTCAACAAGATACACAAAGAAATTAGTCGAGTGTGGTAGTGCACACCTGTAGTCCCAGCTACTTGGGAGGCTGAGGCAGGAAGATCACTTGAACCCAGAAGTTTGAGGCTGCAGTGAACCATGATTGTGCCACTGCACTCCAGCCTGGGTGGAAGAGCACGACTCTGTCTCTCTGTCTCGGGGAAAAAAAGGGCACCCTGCTGACACAGACCATCCTTGAGGTAAACTAAAATGAATCTCCATCATATTTTTCATTTCACCATCACATTAAAGTATTATTTGAAATAATGTACTTAATAATGATTTTATATTAAGGAAAGAGATGATATTTAGGGGCAATAATTCACCAAGGTATATAGGTTTACCTTGGTGACACACAGCTTGATCACAGATCAGCTTCCATGTTGAGTTGATTTCTTTCCTTCCTATTTCTATTAAATTTTAAAAAGTCAAGCTTTAAAAACACTTTAAAATGCTCCACAATATTACAGGATAGGTGAAATAAGAATGCTAAATTTTTTTTTAATTTTTATATTTATTTATTTATTTATTTATTTATTTATTATACTTTAAGTTCTAGGGTACATGTGCACAACGTGCAGGTTTGTTACATATATATAAATGTGCCATGTTGGTGTGCTGCACCCATTAACTCGTCATTTACATTAGGTATATCTCCTAATGCTATCCCTCCCTCCTCCCCCCACCCCACAACAGGCTCCGGTGTGTGATGTTCCCCTTCCTGTGTCCAAGTGTTGTCATTGTTCGATTCCCACCTGTGAGTGAGAACATGCGGTGTTTGTTTTTTTGTCCTTGCGATAGTTTGCTGAGAATAATGGTTTCCAGCTTCATCCATGTCCCTACAAAGGACATGAACTCATCATTTTTCATGGCTGCATAGTATTCCATGGTGTATATGTGCTAAAAAATTTTAAACTATTTGTCTTAGTTGGATTCCTCCACAGCAGTCTGAGGCAAGGACATGGGTGCAGTTAGTATATTTAGGGTGTTATTCCAGGAAGCAGGAGCGAGGTAGTAAGGAGAATTAGAGAAAGAAAAAAAGTCAGTGCAAAGGTGCATTATGAGGTTGCTGCATTGGGCAACAAGGGCTGAATTCTGGTTAGACTGCTTGGGGGAAGCTATAGAACATTCTCCCAGAACTCTCCCTTTGATGGATGAGAGGTTGCAGCTCTCATCCACCAGTTATTGTCCCCCTCATTTGAGGGTTATCTCCAAGGCTAGGAGGTGTTTTCATGTGGATTGGCTTTCATGAAGGCCTTGAGGGCAGAAGCAGAAGAGAGAAACTTGATTTTGGGGCAGGATACTGTTTGTTAGGGTGATGTGAGTCTGAGCTTACATAGAACTGTCTACCCCAGCTCTGGCTGAGCAAGGTGGAGAAAGAGGCTGTGATGTAGGGCACCAGAAGCATTTATTCCACTATTGAATCTGGGTAGTGAATACCTGGACTTTCATTATCCTATCTACTCTACTTTTGTACATGTTTGAAGTTTTTCATAATAAAAAGTTAAAAATTCTAATTCAGAATCCTAGGTCATTGGGAACTGCCTTAAGTATTTAGTGGCCTTATCAAACCTATAGATATTATACATCCAAAAAGCTAGATATTACAAGGACGGTTCCCTGATAGTACTTTGAAGCACTCCATCAGATACTAAAGTCCCTGAACAAATCACAGTCAAAGGCTAGAAGACAGAATAGTTGAACTTGGGAAACAGATGGGTGTGCATTCCTAAATTACCACTTTGACTGCATTTAGTTCAAAAAAGTGTGGTTACAAGTTCCACTGAAGAACTTGAACGTGATATTTACATATACCCAATCATATATAGTCGATTTCTTTCTTCAAGAAGTGCATAAAGTCTCCACATGTTGGGACAGAATCAAATTCTTAGTGACAAAGCTGTTTGCATCATAGTTCAGTCTTCTTAAAAAATTCTGATTATTTTATCTTTAACATTAAACATGGCAGTATTTCACCACTGAGCTAATAACTACAGGTTCTTTAATATTCTGAAAATGTGGCTATAAAATATGTCTTCAGCAAGGCATTTGAATATGAGAAATGCTCTTTAGTGGCATTATCATTTTCATAAGGTCCCTTTCCCTATCCCTTGTATCAAAAAGTTATGGGAGAGCAGCTTCTCTCAACAGCTGGCATGCTTAGTGTGGAAAAGTGGAGATTAGTATTTACTGCTTATTTCTTTGTACAGCATGCTGGGAAGACATCTTCTTAGGGGCCAAAATTTTATTATACTCACAGTATTTGTTTTTTTCAATACTGAACTGTGATCAGAAGGCATGTTGCTGATCATTGTTAATCAAGTCGTGAGTGGCTTCACATACGGGTGCAACCTCTTTTATTTGCTACATATTTCTGGGCGGCAGTCATGGCTAATGCTCTTCAGAATTGGCCGCAGTGCCCCTTTTCCAATCTACTTCATGACTCATTAAAAAAAACCACTTGTTAACTAAATTAAAAACCTTTCCTTTTATGAAGAGAAACTAGATCTCTCCTATATTGCTGGTGGCAATGTACAATGGTACAGCTACTCTGGAAAAGAGTTGAACAGTTTCTAATGAAACCAAACATGCAACAACCATACAACCCAGCAATTACACTCATGGGCATTTATCCCAGAGATTTAAAAACTTATGTTCATACAAGAACCTGTACACAAATGTTCACCGCAGTGTATTCCTGATAGCCCCCAATTGGAAACAACCCAAATGTCCTTCAACATGTGAATGGTTAAGCAAACTGTGGTATATCCATAGCATAGAACACTACTCACAAATGAAAAGGAACATATTATTGATATGTACAACATCTTGAGTGGATTTACAAAAATTGTACTAAGTGAAAAAAGGCAATGACCCGATTATATATGATTCCAAATGTATAACATCCTTGAGATGACAAAATTATAAAAATGGAGAACATGTGAGTGGTTGCTAGGAGTTAAGAAGGGGGTGGAGTTGGAGATAATGGGTGTGGCTATAAAAGGGCAACATGAGGGATCCTTGTGGTGATGGAACCATTCTGTATCTTGACTGTATCAATGCCAATATCCTGGTTGTGATACTGTATGGTGTTGCAAGACACTGTCATTGGGGGAAACCGGGAAAATGGTACATGGTTTCTCTTTGCAGTATTTCTTACAACAACTGCATGAAAATCTGTATCTAAGGTAACAAGCATAATTTAAAAAAAAAACCTCTTTTCTCTTATAGCATGGGATTTCAGTGTCAAAAATGTGGAGCACTTCTCCCGTGTGTGTTTGTGTGTGTGTGCGTGTGTGTGTCTGTGTGTGTACATACCACTCCTATGCCAAGAGTCTGCATATCCGTGTTTTTACCTGTCTCTAAAGTAGAATATCTGCTGGTGTCCACATGTGATAATAATTGCCTTTTATATTGTGTGCCATAGATATTACGGATGTCCTATGACGTTGTTATAAAAATTCTGCTGATGACTCACTCTGCTTTCTCTAAGTCACTTTGTCATTGATATTGTGCCTGGTTTTATAAGCTTCTTGGCAATGAAGTGATTTGTACTTGTTTTGCCAAGAGGTCTAATAACGTTGAATGAAACCCCCATAGCTTTTATATCTTCCCTGCCTTCGTCACAATATTCATCAACTTCATACAGCAAAGAATTACTTCGTGCTTGCTTTCAAAATATTCAATTGGTTTATCACAGGGTTAACTGTACTTTGATTAATAATTATGTAAAAGCGGCCGTGGGCCGAGGAGAGCTCTAGGTGGCCAGCCAAAGACCTGGGGCGTCGTGGGCTTCGGCGAGCATGCAGGGATGAGCGGGTCCCTCGGCCGAGCGGCGGGCTCGGGTGCGGGCGGTGGTGTTTCAGGGGAGCGGCTGGACGCACTGGTGAAGGACAAAGTGGTTGTCTTCCCTCAAGGGGACGGCGGAGCAACCCCAGTGCGGCTTCAGCAACGCCATGGTGCAGATCCTGTGGGTGCACGGCGTCCGCGACTATGCGGCCTACGAAGTGCTGGACGACCCCGAGCTGCGACAAGGCATTAAAGACTATTCCAACTGGCCCACCATCCCGCAAGTGTACCTCAACGGCGAGTTTGTGCGGGGCTGTGACATTCTTTTGCAGATGCACCAGAATGGGGGTCTGGTGGAAGAACTGAAAAAGCTGGGGATCCACTCCGCCCTTTTAGATGAAAAGAAAGACCAAGACTCAAAGTGAGGGCGCCCGGGTCCTCCCTGAACAGAGGGAGCCGTTCGTGTCAGAGACTCACTGCCAGAAAAACCTTACCGATTTTGGTTTTCACTACTGAGACAACTGCGTTGCACTGATCATTTCCGTTCGTGAGCAGTCGGGTGATTTTAGGTTGTCTGGTGTTTGGGCTAATAAGATTTTATTGTGAGCTTAATTACAACCACTGCACTGTAATAATTCAATGCTGTATTATGATATTGCTGTAAACAAAATTTGTTCTTATATTGCCATTTATTTTTTGCCTGATTCAGGAGTTAAACTAGGAGCTTTGGAATCATTATTCATGACCCCTCTGCAAATATGTCAGTCTGCAAAGACAATATCTTCCCCCAAATTATGTATAGCTTCTTCCGTTATGGAAAACGATGGACAAAGAAGAAACTGTGATAACTGGGTTTTTTTTTTTTTTTAAATAAACTGCCAACACAGGAAGAAAGTTATGTAAAAGCTTTGATGACTTCGTGCTACAATTTGATACATTTTATTATAAAGAGCATGCTGGAGACTGGGGCAAATGGATGGCAGGTCTAATAAAATCAAATTTTCAGACATTTATCTTCTTACTTCATATTTGCATTTTCGACTGCTTATATGATATTGTCACACACACACAGGCTTATTTTTATTGTTACTTTAATATTCGACAAACCTTTTTTCCTTAGTAAAGTTTATTTTTCCAACATAAAAGTAATATAAAACTTGGAAAATACAGCAAAATAAAAAGAGGAAAAATCAACATAATTTTACTGCCCCAAAAATCCCATTGACTTTTTTTTTTTTTTTTTTCCTTGAGACGGAGTCTCGCTCTGTCGCCCAGGCTGGAGTGCAGTGGCGCTGTCTCGGCTCACTGCAAGCTCCGCCTCCCGGGTTCACGCCATTCTCCTGCCTCAGTCTCCTGAGTAGCTGGGACTACAGGCGCCCGCCACCACGCCCGGCTAATTTTTTTTCGTATTTTTAGTAGAGATGGGGTTTCACCGTGTTAGCCGGGATGGTCTCGATCTGCTGACCTTGTGATCCGCCCATCTCGGCCTCCCAAAGTGCTGGGATTACAGGCGTGAGCCACCGCGCCAGGCCCTGATAGAGATTTTGTTCATTTTTTTAAATTTGTTTGCTTTGTTGATAGCTTGAGAGACCTTCACATTTCCATGTACCTGAGTCATCAAAATTTCTAAATCTGGTGGGTTCTTCACCCTAGAGTCCCAAGAGTGCCATAAGATACATCCTGGCATGGCAGTGGCCAGAGGGGCTGGTCTGGAAAGGGTGACAGAGGCCCTGATGTCTCAGGGAAAAGCACTCAGCATGAACCAGTAATCTGCACAAGGGTCGACCTAGTCCAGAAAGAACTTTTCCTGGGCTCGGTTCCCACCCTGGTGGTCACATCGCCGTGACTCAGCAGGAAGAGGCCTCCCCAGAGCCCAGGTCTCTCACAGTTAAGTGTTGTCAGAGGCTGCCGCGTGGGCCAGCAGTCCATCTCATTGGGTTAGCAGCAGCATTCCAACCCACAGGATTTGTTCACAGGCTGGAATGCTGGCCTCAGGGCTGGGCAGTGGCACTTCCTCCACTTGGTCCTGATGCTTGCAGTGATACCCTGTGGTGGTGCCATAAATCAGCTCTGCTCTGTGCTTTCCCAGAGAGATTTCCAAATGAATTGCCCTCCAAGCAGGCAGCGTGAGATACCTCCTTTCAGATGTCATGAACTAGATGGAATTTTGTTTTTACTAGAGGGGGGTAAATAGCAATGCCAGGCTATGATGTTGGAGTCTATTCAGTTTGCCTCACTTGACCCACATGTCAGTTATGAGCTAAACCTCACAGGCTGTCTCCTCAGGGTTAGTGGTTATTTTTCCTCAGCTAGAGGGAAGAACAAAGGAATGGAGCCCAGATGCACCAGAATGGGGACCTGGTGGAAGAACTGAAAAAGCTGGGGATCCGCTCCACCCTTTTAGATGAAAAGTAAGACCAAGACTCAAAGTGAGGGTGCCCGGGTCCTCCCTGAACAGAGGGAGCTGTTCGTGTCAGAGACTCACTGCCAGAAACTGTCACAGCAGCTGCAGGTTTGCACACCCAGTGCTTGACATTAGGCAAACCCCCTCATTTCTCGGGGTCCTCGACCTCCTCAAAAGTTTTTTCTTTTTTTTTTTTTTTTTTGAGACAGAGTCTTTCTCTGTTACCCAGGCTGGAGTGCAGTAGCATGATCTCGGCTCACTGCAACATCTGCCTCCTGGGTTCAAGTGATTCTCTTGCCTCAGCCTCCTGAGTAGATGGGATTACAGGCATGTGCCACCACGCTTGGCTAATTTTTGTATTTTTAGTAGAGATGGGGTTTTACCATGTTGGTCAGGCTGGTCTCAAACTCCTAACCTCAGGCAATCCACCCACCTCGGCCTCCCAAAGTGCTGGAATTACAGGCGTGAGCCACCGCACCCAGCCGGAAGTTTATTCTCTTAACTGGAGCTCAAGACTTCAAGACCAGTCTGGGCAATATGGCTAAACCTGGTCTCCACAAAAAAATACCAAAGGTATCCAGGTGTGGTGGTGAATGCCTGTAGTCCCAGCTACTTGGGAGGCTGAGGTGGGAGGATTGCTTGAGCCTGGGAGGTGGAGGTTGCAGTGAGCCAGGATCGCACCACTGCACTCCAGCTTGGGTGACACAGCAAGATCATGTCTCAAAAAAAAAATACATAAGGATGGTTAAGAATGTAATTTGACAAAAAGAATGTAATGTGATTGCTGTAAAAAATCATAATTAGCCTTACATCTCAAATATGTGGAAGGTATGTAAAGAAATAATATTATTGCTTTTTCCTCTGTCACTGGCTAGGTTTCTGGGAATGATCAGTGGCCCTGGATCACCCAGAGTCCATGCACCACACTTTGAGAAACAGTGCGTAAGGGAAAAGTATATGCTATGCTTTAAACACATTTATTAATACATTAAGTTTGATTCTATTTAAATTGGTTGAACTTTATTATACTTGATCATGAAGTTTCTATCATGGGTAAAAAATTATGACAAAATAGATGCTTTTTACTGATAGTTTGGCATCTTCCTTAATAATAGACCTGTAGCCAGGGTGAGGATGTCCAGCTAGGTACTTACGTACATTTTCCAGCCCGCTTTGTGGTCTGGTGTGGCTCTGAGACCAGTGAAATGTAAGTAGGAGTGATGTGTGCTTTTTCTAGGCCCAGCTCTTTAAACTTTGCACATGTGCTTCTCTTTACTTTTTTCCTCTAACAGAAGAAATATGGATGTGCCCATAGCACACATTACTCAGCTTTGAAACTGGCAGATAAGGCTGTTGCCTTACAGAAGGGCAGAGAAACATGAAGGAATCAACCCAAGTCCATGAGTGACTGAATGAGTTGAGTAGGCCACCTATGTGCTCTGGACTGTCAAGTGGAGAGAAACTTGACAAGTGGTGAGTTCTTTGACTCCCTGTACTATTGGGTTTTTATATTATAGAGGCTTAGCCCTTTAAGCCTGATAAAGCCAGGGAAACTTGGAGGTCTGAAAGCTCCGATTGGTAGCTTGTGGGGAAGAGTGGCTCTTGGTGGCACAGGACAGGTGGGAAGGAAAAGGGAGTCAGGATTTGGCACAAGACTACCAACCATGGTAGGTGGGTATGGCAAGTGCGTGTCCAGTTGATTTCTAAGGATGATTTTGGTGGTACTGCCAGGTAGGGGAGATAAGAAATAAGGAATAAGCTTGGTTGTGAGTCATACAGAAGTGTAGTTTTCTTATGAGAAAGAATAACTGAGTCAGGGGAAATGGTACCACTTAGTCATCCAGTTTAGGATTAGAGAGAAATGAAATCAAGGGAGCCACATCAGGCATAGGTCATCTCTGGGTCACCTCATGCAGGATCCAGGGAAGTGACACTTCTAAGCTTCCTGAAGGGTCCCTGGGGCTCTTGCTACTTTTCCTACTTTAGTCATGATTAGCATAAAAACTGTGGTGGAACTGTGGTGGCTTCATTAGTGGCTTCAGCTGTAAAGACTTGAAGCTGGAACAAATCAGAGATAAATCTTATTTACCTCACTTATTTACCTTTCATCTACATATGATTTAGTGCCTCAGCCACTGCTAGGGTACCTTTCTGTAAACTGGAAAAAGTGCTCCTTTTTGGGTTGGGGGCATGGCCTAGCAAGCACATGTATCAAACTAGGAAAGGAAAGCATTACTTGGTGAGTACAGTGCAGTATGGATTTCAGCCCCCATTCACCTCCATGACTGGGTATCCTTTGTGCAGTGAACAACATGCACAACTGTACATGGTGGCCTTGCAGACTACCAGAGGCACAGTGAGCATGAAGAGTGAAGTTGGAGAGTAAAGAAACAATTCAAATGTAACCTGCTGGCCAGAGGTACTTATAGGAAAGGCAAAAGAGAAGCAAAAGGTGAAGGGTGATTTAAGAACAGTTTTAAACTTAATATCTGAAGGGCCATCCCCAAATAGACAATATACTTTCTTGTATCTTTACCTTTGCTCATGCTGTTCCTCATCTGAAGTATCCTCTCTGGTTATATGATTCCTACACATACTCCAAAGCTTACTTCTAGACTTAACCTTTCCAAAAAGCCTTCCGTGAACTCTGTAGCTTACAAAGATCCCTCCCTCCCTCTTTACACTAAACTCTGACCATACTGCACTTAAGTTTCTGCCTTACATCATGCTCAGTGATTAGCTGGCCTGCTTTCCTTTTTGGCTGATTACTTCGTTTCTGAAACCATCTCTTGTGCCCCCCCCCCCAATAGCTATGGGAGTTTATTGAACTTAGTATTTATACATCAGTCTCTCCTCAGTGGATTCTAAGCTCTGTCAAGGCAGGGACTGTGGGTTTTAAAAAAATTTCTATCCCCAGCCAGCACAGGGCTCAACAAGTGTTTGTTGAATAAACAAATGGGCAATCCATGCTCAAAAAGATGTCTATTTGTTTGAGTGACCGAGAGCCTGGAAAATTTCTTCTCCAGTCCCAAACTATGTTTTTATTCAGGGAACCTCCGCTAAGCTCCCCACAGCAGGGTATGGGGACCACTTGTGACCAATTAACTTAAAATCTTTCCCCTGTTCAGACACTATTTTAACAAATCCTTGCAGTAGAAAGAGCACTGTGCTCATTGGGTGGTTCTAGTTCAGTTCTGATACTAACTAGCCATGTGACTTTGAGCAAATTGAAATCACCTGCCTGGCCAGCCTTAGTTTCCTATACTGTAAAATGAAAAAGTAGCTTTAATAGTCTGCAATGTTGTAAAGCAACATGATAAACAATGTGGTAATTGAGCTGAACTGTGAAAATATATTCATATCCATGGTAATACCTAACTCCTATCCTAGCTCAGCTTGAAGCAATTTTTCTTCGGCAGTGAAACATTCATAAGATGTTTTATGCGCCCCATGACCAATAAACAGCTGTAGGAAACTTGGGGAAAATATAACTCTCCCTCTTGGCCTGTATAATTTTACTGTTGTTGTTGTTGTTAATGGGCAGCCACCACTTCTTCTCTCTCCTTCATGGGGCTTATTTGTTCATTCTATTTAGGGTTGGCAGGTTCATCAAATAAAAGTGCAATATGATTCCTTCATATTTGTTCAGCACTTCACAGGTTATGAGGAAGCAGGTTAATGTATTAGAATGCAGAATGGCAGAAATAGCCTTGCTATCTAAAGTGTGTCCCCCCAACTGATAGCATTAGCATTACCTTGGAGCTTCTTAGAAATTCAAACTCTGAATCCCACCCCAAACCTACTGAGTCAGAATCTGCATTTTAACAAGACCTGCAGGTGATCATGTGTACACTAAAATTTGAGAAGCCCTGGGCTAGTTCTAACTGCCTCCTCCATTTGCTCAACAGCTGTCCCTAAACTCTGGAGTAGGAAAAAGGGAGTAGAGTTGCCCAAAATATGAACTCTTCAATTGGCTCCTTCCTATATTGTAGGGACTATCACACATGTGGTGGTCTTACAGGGCAGTGCATAATAAACAGCAGATAATGTTAAGTTTTCTGTCAGGGCCATCTGCTCAAACAAAGTCAGAAACCACATCCAAAAAGAAACCACATCTGTAGTATGATGAAGGCACTATGTCTAGGCAAGGCTGGACCTGAGTCAAGTTGTCATCTCTGCCTGGTTGGGATATCTATGCCTGTGAATATTCTTGAACTCTCCCTTTTGGCTACAATTCTTCACTACAAGGTTCTCTCCCTTTTTCTTTCAGATACTGAGTGTCCTCCTCAACCAAAGTGAACATTTAGAAAGGCATGTACTCTACTGTAACATTAAGTACAGTAGGTGTTTCTCCTCACCTGGGCTCTATATTCTCAGTTCTTTGCAAACATCCTCTTAAAGGGATTTCATTCCCCCAAGTAGCTATTGGAATAGGGTATTTTGGAAGGGTCTGGGTCACATACTCCACCTAAGAATAAAGCCAGCTCTGCTTCTAGGCTCTCAGCCTCAGCCTTACCCATATTCTCAAATCTCTCCACTCGCTCAGCCTCTCATACAGTTGCCCTTCCTGCCTTCACAAGTCTCTGTCTCTTTCCACTTCTCTCCTCCCAATTCGGGTCAGGCTAGACTGAGGATGGCTAGACCTTAGAGATCGGCCAGAAATACAGAGACACGGAAGTGATCTGCAGATGTCAATGAAACCAGAATAGTAAGAAATCCAGAGAAGGAGGCATAGTGTGATACCAGTTGGTCTGATAAGAGGGGACTAGGAACTGGGATTCAGAGGCAAGAAAGACTTTAGTTCTCATGAGAATTAGGGAGTCAGTCTCAGCTCTGGGAACCTGACATGCTGACCAGGGATCTAGCAGAAAGGGAGAGTCATGACTGGGCACGGGTAATTGGCAAGAAACCAGGGACTGGACAGAGGTTCTGAGGTCAGAAAAGGGCCAGAAGCTGGGATAGATTTGGACCTATGGCTGGGGTTGGTGGCTCCAGGAGTGAAGGCTAGAGTCCTGTGCTGAAGTTCCACCATTTGTTTTATTCATTTGAGATATAGATTTCGCTTTATAGAGTGGAGGTTAAGAATGTTGGCTCTGGAGCTAGATGGCTGGGGTTCAATTCTGTCTTCATCTCTTACCAGAGGTTTGACTTTGGTAAGGCTCTTAATCTCCCTGTGCCTCATCTGAGGGATGCTGTGAGGCTCCAATGAGACAATGTATGCTAAATGCTTAGCAAAGCACTGGCCCACAGGACATCCTAGCTAAATGCTATGCATGATGATGGTTAGCCCTCGAACTCCATGCCTCCATTCCTCTACTCCTCAAATTCCCTTCTGGTCACTGGGACATGTTCCCTCTGCTTAAAACAGCTTTTTTCCCTTAACTCCTTTTCATCGTTTAGGCCTCAGTTCAGACCTCAGTTTCCATAGGGGTCCTTTCCCAGATGCTCTTGGAATGGGTGAGGGGTTCTTCCTTGTGCTCCTATAGCACTTACACTTTTTTTTTTTTTTTTAAGACAGAGTCTCACTCTGCTGCCCAGGCTAGAGTACAGTGGTATGATCTCAGCTCACCTCAACCTCCACCTCCCGGATTCAAGCGACTCTCCTGCCTCAGCCTCCCAAGTAGCTGGGATCACAGGCGTGCACCACCATGCCTGGATGATTTTTGTATTTTTAGTAGAGACTGGTTCTCACCATGTTGGCCAGTGTGGTCTCGAACTCCTTACCTCAGGTGATCCGCCTGCCTTGGCCTTCCAAAGTGCTGGGATTATAGGCATGAGCCACCGCACCCGGCCAGCACTTACACTTATACATCATGTATTGTAATTGCTCATTTCCTTGTCTGTGTCTCCCATTAGTCCCTCAGCTCTACAAGTTTGGGGATTGTATCAGTTTTTTCCACTGCTCTCTCAGTTTCGCTGACACACAATAGAAATTTATTAAATGTTTGTTGATTAAATGAATAAAATGGTGAGAGACTTCAAGCTTAGGTGCCTTGGGAGAGCCATAACCAGACAGGATTCCTCTGTTAAAGCTTAATCTATGAGCTGCTGACAATTGTAAAGCCAGAGCCCCAAGGCCTGCGGTCACTTTCAGATGATGTCCCTTTCGGGAGGTGTCAGTGAAACCCACCTGCCCACCACCTTGCCTGTCTGTTTTCTGTGTGCTGTGTGGGCCAAGTAGTACTGGGAGGAGCAGCTTTAAATCTGAAAGTGTCCTATACATTTTCCAAGCCTCTGTAGCAGTCACCATTTTTCCCAAGCTAGCTTGTGTAATAATGCCTGGAGGCTAGTAAACAATGAACAATCCAATACCTTTCAAAGCATCCTGGAAGTACAATATTTGTGCTCCTTCTGTGGCATGTAAATATGTCTTATATCATGCAACATGCTGCTTTTCTAAATATTCATAAAATCTTATCTTAAATTTCTTTTATTTTAATAAAATGAAAATCTCGGTCTGTCTTTGTGAGCAAAATGATGTTTCCACCAACAAAGCTACTGGAGCCAGGCTGGGGATTGCAGGCTGCAGCGGCTTGAAGAGATGGACTTAGAAGTCACAGGGGAAAGGCTGGACGATAATTCCCTCCTTCTTCCTCCTGAACTCTGCTGATTCCATGGGGAGCAATCAGAGAACATTCTTGGAGACCTCTAAGTGACTATCTCCATGCCTAGCCTCATGTAGAGACATTCTACACATTTCTCTAAAACTTGCAGATGGCCGAGTTCACCTGGGAAGAGTTCATTTTGTGTGAGAAAAGTGGACAATTAACCTAGGGCAAGTGAAAATTGGAGGCAGGGATATAGCCAGCTGCTCTTAACAGAAAAACTAGTCATGCGTTCTTATTGCATGTTTGGGGACTGGGGTTAGGGCCGGAGAGTTTGACTCTCATTAGACAATTTGAAAAAAGTACATTTTAGCTTGGGGGACCCTTATTTCTCACCCCTTTATCAGAGGATAATTTAGAGTCGCATATGGGGTCTCTGGGTAGGGTTTTGCTAAATTTGCTAATTTGCCAGATTTTGCAGATACAAATATAGGATGTCCACTTAAATTTGAGTTTCAGATAAACAAGAGATTTTTTTTAGCATTTGCATATCCCAAATGTTTCATCCTGTAATGTATCTGGCAACCCTATTCCCAGGTAGTTATCCCTTGGAGCACCATGTTGTTGGTCTGCTTAATAAGGCAAAATGCCTAAGAAGCCTTCTGCTACTGGGACACCCTTAGCGGCTGGAGTTAGATCATCTCCCTTAGTACTGCTGGAAGCTCTGAGAAGCCAGTAGACCCCCTAATGAGCTGAACAGTGTGTGGGGGGGTGGAGGTGGAATGTTGTCTTAAATAAGCCCCTACTGATAGTGTGCGTAAAGATAGAGTTGGATGGAACAGCTGGTCTTTCAGGAGCCCTGTCCCCTACTTATCTTTTCTCCTTTTTGTGTGCCTTAGAAAACCCTACTGCTTTATTCTACCCTAAATCTCTTTTCCCAACAGCCAACCCAAATCAGTCAAGGCCCTTGAAACTTTCAGCCTAAAGTCAACTTATCCTGATAAACAAAAATGTAGGACTCAAAGGAAGCCACTACATGTAGAATATTCAATAGGAGAAAGCAAAAAGGACACTTGCTTACAGGCCTCATGCTTATTCCCATGGAAATAAAGAAACCAAATATGAGAATGAGAGAGGACCACCAGGACCTCACTTGGCTATTTAAATAAGAGAAATGATGCGGATTCAAGTGAAAGACAGATGGAACCGGAAGCAGCATCAATGCTTGGCAAAAGTAGTTTTTGGACTAGTGAGCTGAAAGGAGGGGCTGTTTGTTTCCCTGCAGATGTCTCGCAGGCTCCTGTAAGGAAGGAGTTTTTCCCACGTGCTCTTTGGAGTTGGACTGGGAAGGCTTAGTGTTAACTTACCTACCTTAGCCTAGTCACAGCACTAAAGGGCAAGTTGGCCTACTTGAGAGTGAGGCCCCTGAGAAGAACACAAACCACCCTCAATACACTTTAAATACTCTTCCCAGGGTTTTGTGCTCAGGAGTTGTTTGAAAGGCACAGGCACCTGGGTGGTTTTATGGGGTAATAAAAAGATGTGGAATGGAGGTGGGTGTGGATCATTTCTGCCCCTCTGTTCTGTTCCCAAGAAACCCTGGAGTACAGTGATTCTGAGACACTGTTAGGCCACCTGTGGTAGACATGAGTGGCCTTTTTCCAATTACTTCCTTTCCCCCTAATCTCAGATGATATGAGGGCTGGGTTCACAAAAGCATGGTAGAGGCAAGGCTTAAGACGAGAGGCCCAATGGGCTTGAGCCAGACTGTTGGCCAGACTGGGGCTAAAGACTCGTCAGCATGGTCAGACTAGGACACTCCGGCATGTGATTAACCATCTACAGTTAGGGCTGGAAGAGTTTTAGCTGGCATTTGGGCATGACTTTATAAAATGACCTTCCACACACAACTCTAAAATCAGGTCTGGGGTCTGAGGCCAGCCCTAGGTCAGCTCCCACTGAGGTACTTTGCACTGGCTGCCTTTTTCTTTTGGGAGGGACGACTGTAGCCTTTGAGGTGGGTCCTCATAGGCTTTCAGTAGTGTGAAGCTTTGGTCAAATCTGGGTGCCTAGCACTATATTTAAGCACATACATATCTGCTCAACGTCACTCAGCTAGTAAGTAGTAGAGTCAGTGCTGGAAACCAGATCTGTCTGACTTCAAAGCTCAAGCTTTAAACCATTACCCCACCATTTCTCAGCCTCCAGCCTCTCAAATACCACCTTCATGATTTTTGCCATATCGTGTACTGCCTACACTATTATTTTGTAAAATTTTTTAATTTTTAATTTTTATAGGGACATAGTAGGTATATATACTTATGGGGGACATAAGATGTTTTGATACAGGCATGCAATGTGAAATAAGCGCATCATGGAGAATGGGATATCCATCCCCTCAGGCACTTATCCTATGTGTTACAAACAATACAATTATACTCTTTAAGTTATTTTAAAATGTACAATTAAGTTATTATTGACTATAGTCACCCCGTGGTGCTATCAAATACTAGGTTTTATTCATTCTTTCTAACTATTTTTTTGTACCCATTAACAATCTCCACCTCCCTCCCTTAGGTTCCCACTCTCCTTCCCATCCTCTGGTAACCATTCTATTCTCTATGTCTGTGAGTTCAATAGTTTTGATTTTTAGATCCCACAAATAAGTGAGAACATGTGATGTTTGTCTTTCTGTGCCTGTCTTATTTCACTTGACATAATACTCTCCAGTTCCATCCATGTTTTTGCAAATGACAGGATCTCATTCTTTGTTTTGGCTGAATAGTACTGCATTGTGTCTACACTATTATTTCCTTAATATTTTTGAATCAACTTTTAAACTTTCATTAAAAGGAAAATCTATGTCACTGCCATAAACTGAAATCCAGTATCAAGTACCCTAAATGGAAGAAAATTATACTAATATACCTATAACTGCTTATTATAAATGTTCATCTGGGTATGACTGATAATCATCTCATATCTCGCTGGTGGTTTGCCTACCACACTTTGGAAAATACCGCACTATTCTAAGCAGCAGGATTATAATAGGCCTTGAAGGCTACTCTGGACTAAATGTTTGTGTCTCCTCCCTGCCCTCCCAATATGGTTTGGCACTGTGTCCCAACCCAAATATCATGTTAAGTTATAATTTCCAGTGTTGGGGGAGGGATCTGGTAGGAGGCGATGGGATCATGGGGGCGGATTTCTCCCTTGCTGTTATCATGATAGTGAGTGAGCTCTCATGAGATCGGATAGTTTAAAAGTGTGTGGCACTTCTCCCTTCTCTCTCTCTCTCTCTCTCTCTTTTTCTCTCTCTCTCTCTCCTGCCACCATGTGAAGATGTGCCTGCTTCCCCATCACCCTTCTGCCATAATTGTAAGTTTCCTGAAGGCTCCCCAGCCATGCTTCCTCTATAGCCTGTGGAACGGTGAGTCAATTAAATATCTTTTCTTCATAAATTACCCAGTCTCAGGTAGTCCTTTATAGCAGCGTGAGAATTGACTAATATAACACCCCCCCGCCACTTGCATACATTGGAGCCCTAATCTCCAATGTGATGGTGTCTTATTCTGTTTTCTGTGGCTACAGCAGAATACCTGAGGCTGGGTAATTTATAAAGCAAATAAATTTATTTAGCTCACAGTTCTGATGGCGGGGAGGTCCAAGGTTGGGCAGTTGCATCTGGTTGGCTTCTGGTGAGGGCTTTATCAAAACATGTCAGAGAATAGAAGGGGAAGTCAGTACATGCAAAAAGGGCAAAACACAACAGGCAAGCTAAGAATGAATCCATTTCCCCAAGAACTAACCCAGTCTCATGAGAAAGACATTAATCCATCTTAATGAACTAATCACCTCTTAAAGGCACCACCTCCCAATGCTGCCACGTTGGAAACCAATCCTTAATATGAGTTTTGGTGGGGACAAACAATATTTAAAGCATTGCAGATGGGATTTGGAAGTGTGGCTTTTAGGAGGTAATTATGCCATGAAAGTAGAGCCCTCATAAATGGGATTAGTGTCCTTTTAAGTGACACAAAGAGATGATCTCTCCCTCCACCATGTGAGGGCACAGCAAGAAGGCAGCCATCTGCAAACCAGGAAAAGAACCCTCACCAAGAACCTCGATCTTGGATTTTCTAGTCTCCAGAAGTGTGAGCAATAAGTGTCTACGGTTTAAGCCACCCAATCTATGGTATTTTTGTTATAGCAGCCCAAAGTGACCAAAACAAAGGCCATCTAATGAACCTTCCTCCCCTTTTCAATTTCAAAATAGCCTGTGCAATCTTTTAATTAATATCCTCTTGCCTGAGCTTGAACTTCTCTTGTGAGGAGACAGAAAACATTTTGCTTCTGACCAGAAACTGCCATCACACATGTTTCTTTGTTCTTTGATGTTGACACAAGTATACAGCCTTTGAAGAACTTTTACTACTGCGGCAAACTAGACATAAGGCCACTTGTGTGCCCTCACCTTTGCACTGTCTTTTTCTCATCTTTTTAAACTTAGCTGTTGTGGAGAGAAGGACAAAAAAGTACACAGGTGATGTTGGTGTGCTGGAGTATATACAGGATTGAAGTTTGATTTACGTACTTCACTCTGAGGGAAACACAAACCAGGCACAGAAAGTTGGATCCAGTAAGAAATCCTTAGTATTGGGAGGGAAGGGGAAATTCTGAATGCAGATGTGTATGTCTTCTGGTCCAGCTGCCTTTGAAATAATTTCAACATCTTCTGAGAAAAAGGAGGTGGAAGAGAAGAGTCGTCTCTTTAAAAAACCTTAGTAGGACATCAGCACATGAGCATGCCGGTTTGGCTGTGCCTCTAACAAAAAGTATCACAAAGGGAAGAGAGATCTTTTCCCCCTATGCAGAATAATATATTGCCTAGCTTTGGCATTTCAAGGGCCCCAGTGCCTCAGCTGTAGCAGCAGATAGCAGTGCCCAGTGGATGCAGGGTTGCTTAGCACAGGCACCAAGAGATAAATAGAAGGGCAGCAAGAGCAGCCCCTGGCAGGAAGCAGACATCCCTTGGGGACTCTAATATTATTAAGGGGTCCTTTGATAGAGGCCAAATTCTGCATAAGAGATAAAGGCAAGAGCTGGCAAAATTTGGAAGAGTGAGAGATTGTGTGACCTTTTATATACCTGCAGGCTGGCAAGGTCTGGGGAAACTCAAAGTACACACAGTTTAGAGAAAAATCCTGGACCACTGCCTGCTACCCCAGTTCCAGACATCACAGAAAAAGGGGTACATGTCCATATAATAAAGATCTCTTTCAAAAGTCTCAGAAAGGCTTTTCAAATACGTACAGCCAACTGATCTTTGACAAAGCATACAAAAACATAAACTGGGGAGTGGACACCCTATTTAATAAATGGTGCTGGGAAAACTTGCAAGCCACAGGTAGAAGAATGAAACTGAATCTTTATCTCTCATGTTATACAAAAATCAACCCAAGATTGATTAAAGACTTAAATCTAATACGCGAAACTATAAAACTTTCAGAAGATAACATCGAAAAAACCCTTGTAGACATTGGCCTAGGCAAAGAATTCATGACCAAGACCCCAAAAGCAAATGCAACAAAAACAAAAATAAATAATTGGAACCTAATTAAACTGAAAAGCTTCTGCACAGCACAAGAAATAATCAGCAGAGTAAACAGACAACCCACAGAATGGGAGAAAATCTTTGCAAACTACATATCTGAAAAAGGACTAGTATCTGGAACCTACAAGAAACTCAAACAAATCAGCAAGAAAAAAAATCTCATTAAAAGGTGGGCAAGTGACATGAGTAGGCATTTCTCAAAAGAAGATATACAAATAGGCCAGGCGTGGTGGCTTACACCTGTAATCCTAGCACTTTGGGAGGCCGAGGCGGGTGGATTACTTGAGGCCAGAAGTTCAAGACCAGCCTGGCCAGCATGGCAAAACCCCATCTGTCCTAAAAATACAAAAATTAGCCGGGCATGCCTGTAGTCTCAGCTACTCAGGAGGCTGAGGCACGAGAATTGCTGGAACCCAGGATGCAGAGGTTGCTGTGAGATGAGATGGAGCCACTGCACTCCAACCTGGGTGATAGAACGAGACTCTGTCTCAAAAAAAAAAAAAAAAAAAAAGCCCACAACAAAACAAAAACCAAAACCAAACAAACAAAAATGGCTCAAAATCACTGATCATCAGGGAAATGTAAATTAAAACCACAATGAGATACCACTGTACTCCTGCAAGAATGGCAATTATTAAAAAGTCAAAAACCAATAGATGTTGGCATGGATGTGGGGAAAAAGGAATGCTTCTACACTGCTGGTGGGAATATAAATTAGTACAACCTCTATGGAAAACGGTATGGAGATTCCTTAAAGAGCTAAAAGTAGATCTACCATTCGATCCAGCAATCTTACTACTGGATATCTACCCAAAGGAAAATAAGTCACTACATGAAAAAGACACTTGTACACATAGGTTTATACCAGCATAGTTCACGATTGCAAAGATGTGGAACCAACTTAAGTGTCCATCGACCAATGAGTGGATAAAAAAAATGTGGTATATACATATATACACCATGAAATGTTACTCAGCCATTAAAAGGAATGAAACAATCTTTTGCAGCAACTTGGATGAAGCTGGAGGCCATTATTCTGAGTGAAGTAACATAGGAGTGGAAAACCAAAAACTACATGTTCTCATTTATAAGTGGGAGCTAAGCTATGAGTACACAAAAGCATACAGAGTGATATAATGGACTTTAGAGACTCTGAAGGGGGAGGCTGGGAGGGGGGGCAGGGATAAAAAACTACACATTAGGTACAATGTACACTACTCGGGTGATGGGTGGACTAAAATCTCAGAATTCACCACTACATAATTCATCTATGTAACCAAAAGCCACTTGCAGCCCAAAAGCTATTGAAATAAAAATTTAAAAAAATATATTAAAGAATTAAAAAACCCAAAAACAAAATCCAAAATTCTCAGAAAGGCTTTTAAAATATGATACATGGGAGAAAACCCTGCAACAAAGACATGAGGTCCCATCATTATTGTGAATTAGCCCCTTGATCAACAACCATCACTTGAACATACACGGACTGCAGCAGCAAATGGGTTAGAAAAATGGGAGGCTAGCTATTTGTTCTTTAGGGAGACAGAGCTATTAGGGCGATGTCTGGCTGAGTTATTGAAGGAGAGGGATGTGTTCAAGGTACAAAATGGGTCCTTGAAATAGTTTCTCGTATGATGGCTCAGAAAGAAAAATAGGACTCCAGCCCTTCACATGACGGCAACCACCATTTGTTACTGTCTGCTGCATCTAGACTGGAATGGGGTCTGTCAGTGAGCTTCATGTTGACACAGGTGCTGGGGAGAGGTTGAAGAGGGGGAAGTTAGCTGGAGACACTGCTGTCAGGATCAGCACTGGGGCAGAGAGGAAGCAGCTGCGTTTCGGTGGTAGAAGTGGGAGGGGAAGGAAGAGGGGTCTGCAAGGGTTCTGTACATCCTGCACTGACAGAACTCAACAGCCCAGCCCTGCCTGGCTGGCCCTGGACAAGATAGACCCTGGGCAGCAACTGGGAGAAGGGAAGAGGAGAAGGGGAGCTCCTGGGGCCAGAATCATTCAGCAGAGGCTGTGGTTTCAGTGCATACCTTTGTGTGAAAGGAGTGCACCAAATCATTGAGTTGGGCTGTAATTCCAAGGGCTATAATTATAATTCCAATTCTTTTTTGTTTGTAATATTTCAAATTCTTGGTTCCTAGATATTGATCAGCAAAAAATTCCTCAGATGGCAATAGCCTCTTTTCTCCTGCAGCTCTCTCCCCACCCTTAGCCCTTACAAAGTAGAGCAGGAAGCTATTTTCTTTCCTCATTTCCATGGGAGAAGGAAAAAAGAAATAATAACAAAAGCCCATATTTGTTGAAGACTTTCCATGAGCTGGGCACTCACAACAATCCTGAGAGGTAGGTATTAATATTGGCCCCATTTTACAGATGAGGATATTGACGGTCGTTTACCCCTGCTTATTTCCTTCACAGTGCTGATCACAATCTCTAATCGTCTTATTTATTTGTACCCTTGTCTGTTCACTCCCATAGAGTGTGCACTCTATAAAAGAGGACTTTTGTCTATTTTGTTCGCTATATATGTGCAATGTGTAAAAGTGGGTGTGTGGCACATCACAGATTCTCAGTAGCTTGTATTTCTGTCAGGTTTTGGATTTGATTTTACCCCACTTACAATCAAATAATTTAGCTTGTTACTGTTTTATGATTGCTGGAAGAAAATACAAGACTTCTGGATCAGAGACAGACTGTATTACTCACAACACATTAAACAACATGAGCATCAGCAAGTTTGTGTCACTTGCCCTTGTCCCCAAGTCCCATAGGGATGACACAGAGGGACCCAAATTCATGCTTTATATGCAGTCGGTTTACATCACAGCTGTGGGACAATGACACTAAGCTTGGGGAGCCCAGAGTTTTGTAGCAAGCGGTAAGGATTCCCACTCTTTGTCCCAGAGGCCATGTTACCTCACCCCTGAAAATTTCTCACTGCCACTATTAATATAACCCTGAGAAATGTCCCTGGAAAAGAGTTGCCAGGGCCTTGCATTCTTGGCATGCCCAACAAGAAGTATAGGAGCATAAGAGATCCAGGGAGGAGTGTCTCCCAATATCCTACCCCACTTACCCCACTTAATTACTTCATGCAGAAAATGGGGATGACAGTATCTACTTGATATAGTAGCTATTAAGTGAGTTATGTGCTCAAATGTCACTTTTTCAGTGACACATTCCCTGACCATCCTACTTAAAATAGAGGTCACACCTCCAGCATTCTCTGAAAATACTACTTTATTGCTTTATTTTACTTCACAGCACTTACCACTATTGAATATACTCAACATTTCACTCATTTATCTCTCTCATTGTCTGTCTTCCATGAAATGGAATGCAATGCAGGGATATCTTTCATATCTCTCTGTCCTGCTTATGACTGGATCATCAGTGCCAAATTCAGGGCCTGGCACATTTTAGGCATAAATAATAAAATACTTGTTGAATGGGTGAAAGCACCCAGCCCAGTGCTTGACACAAAAAAGGGCTTCATATATACTAGTTTCTCTTCCACCCTGCTCATGCCTGTCTCCCTTTTTTTCAAACTGCCCATACATCCATCAATCCCCCAACCATGCTTGGGCTCCGGTCCACCCTCCCACCTGCTCTATCATCCCAAGCCCCTGCTGAGTTGCCCGTGCACACCCAAGAACCCACCCTCCCTCTTCTCCTTTTTCCTTCCTTCCATTTGGCCAGTGGGGGTGGGAATTACTACCTTCTAAATCTGAATCTGAGCGCACACAGAAAATATGATGGGGGTCCCACTTTCCACAGGAGCAGTAAAAAAAAAGATAATCATAAATTCTCCCATGTTATTGAGTGCTGAACATGTGCTGTATCATTTACACGTGTTTGCTCAAGTAGTCTTCACGGGAACACTGGAGGGGGAAGTATTATTATTGTCCTCACTTGACAGATAAGGAAAATAAAGCTCACAGGGGCTAGATGACTTAACCCACCTATAGCTGGGACCAGAACCCATGCAATATAACTCTAAAGTCCATGGTCCATTGAAGGGCCCAGGAACTGAAGGTAAGTCTATTGAAGACAGAAGGTATTAAATGAGCCAAGGGTATGTAATTTCTAACCTCTCCATGGACTTCCTGCCTCCTCCCTGAACTTCTGAGCTACTCAGTGGGCACTTGTATTAGCCTCTCTTTAATGCAGAGGCCTTATCTCCATATCTGGTCTAGACTGCAAACTTATTGTGGATAAGCCCATGTGTTATTACTGTCTGTGGCACTCATAACTTTCACACAGCAGGCTCTTAGTAAACAACAAAGGCAATGACCATAGCATCAGCAGCAGGTGTTGGAGTCACAGAACTAGGTTTGAATTTCAGCTTTGATTTGAACTCGTTTTGTGACCACGGGCACTTTGTTCCACCCCTCTGAACCTGTTTCCTTGTCTGTAAAATGGGCATAATACAAGTACTTATTTCAGATGGTTGTAATTTACAAATGAATTCAAATGTAGTGATTAGAACAGTGCTTGGCATGAAATAAATATTCAAGAAATGTTAGCTATTTATTGTTGCTATTATTATTAGAATCCCTATATGCCACTTTAATATTCACTTTAAAAATATAATCTTATCACACTTGAACATAATAGGTGTTATTACTATTTTATACACATGTCTCAGAAAGATTAAGGTAACTTTTACACAGAGTGACAGAGTGAAGTTTTGAATCCTCGATGCTATTTCTGCTACATGAATTGAATGGTTTCGTCTTTTCTGAAGGAGTGGAATGGTGGGCTTCCTTGATTAAGCCATTTCTTTAATGAAATGCTTGACCAAGACCCTAACAGCCACCAAGCTATGGAGGATCTTACTCAGTTATCTCCAGAAACCTGGCCAGAGGGAATGGGGTGAGGGAGAAGCTGAAGGCAAGGTGAGGGGGTGTGTGTGCTGGCTTTCTGAGAAGCTTAGGGTTAGAACAGGGAGTTGAGGAAGGGCCAAAGTAGAATTAAATTCAAATGCAGGTGATTTCACTGAGGCTAAGAAAATGATACCCCCCTACCCTCCACCCCTCACAGCTGCAGTGGGGCCCAGCTTGCAGCTGGGAAGGCTTTTGCGTTTACTACTCACAGTTCTCTGGGAGCCAATGTTTGCTTCCCTTTCTCCGGGGTTTTGTGCAGGGAGAGGTGCAGAGCAACAATCAGAGACCAAATAACTTAATTCAAGGCCAAACAGATGCTTTTTTTCTTGAAGGTATCCAGGGGTATGATCTGCAACAGAGCTGCTCATCACCGCTCTCTAATTTTGGGGCCTCGTGTAGGGGAAGAGCTCATTCGCTTCTCTTGGGATGTGAGCCAGCTGGGATAGATGCTTCACTAAGAGACATGTGTGCACTTTGTCCTGATCTGAGCTCACTGTGAAGGGCCTTTGAACTCATCAAGCAATTCCAGGAAGTGGAAGATGATCAAAGAACACAAGAGAATCATGGTTTAAGCTTCTTTTAAAGTCGAGTTTGGATGTGCTGTGAAGAGGGAGGAGGCAGCTTTCTTGTCCACCGGCATCACATAAAGAGAAGAGCTGTGAATCCCCACAAAGAACCACTTGCACCATAAGTACCAGGGCAGGGGAGGCGTGGGGCTTGTAACATTAGATTATTGGGCCCTCCTCACACCCTCAAAATCAGAATTTGGTGGGGCGGGGGGCTGCGGGAGGACGGTGAGAGTAGGTCCCAGCAGTCAGCAATTCAAATAAGCCCCCAGGTGACTCTAATGTACTGGAAAGTTTGAGGACAACTAAGTTAAAGCATGGGACTTGGAGAGTTCCAACCCTGCTTCTACTACTTATCAACTCTGTGATCTTTGGCAAGCTATTTAACCTCTCTGAGCTTTAGATTCTTCCTTATAGAATGGAATAACCATAGTACCTCCCTCACAGTGCTGTGGGGAGGATTAAATGAGATAACATGTTCCCAATTAGAAATGGTAGTTATTAAATTTCTTCTCCCATTATGCATTATTTTTGTTTCTCCTTTTGAGTAGGAAATGCAAATTTATCTTTCTCCACTTGAAGCACACCACCCCCCGCCGCCCCCGCATTTTCCTTTCACCAGCAGGTGTTTGGCACGTCTAAACACTTGTTTAAAACCCTGTTAAAAACATAGGCAAAGCAGAGGCTCCATACAGTGGCTAAAGATGTTTACCACATGGATGGCACACCTGAGAAGTGCCTACCTGAGCAGTGCCCTTTTCAGATGATCTTCTCCTAACTTCCCACCTCCCTCTCCCTAAATTAAAACCTTTGCATCCAGTGTACTGTCTCTGTACGGTTCTTCTCTGTGTCAGGGCTAGAGCACCAATGAGTTAGTCATGCAGTTGCATAATTATGCAGTGTTATCAATCTCTTGTAAGTTTGGTGAATGGGAGTCGTCAAGAAGATCCCACCTCGCACCTGTGTGGGCTGGCAAAATACGGTTTTTCACCTCTAAAATGGAAAGCCAGCTCCTGGACCTAAGTCGGCCCCAGGAAAGCACTGCTATTTGTAGACACTGCCTCTCTGTCTTACCTCTTAATCATAGCACACTGAATACTGCCTCACAACACCGCTAGCTGTCCCTTTTGGTTTTTTCCCCTTGATGATGGTTGGAACCTAATTTCACCTAGATTCTTTCATTTAACAAATAATTATTGAGCTAAGAAGGGTAATCCCAGAGATGGCTGTTATTAAGAAGAGCTATTTGACTTTTTAAACCAGGAGTTAACGCTGGCTATACCTTAGGATTACCTATATAGCTTCGAAGAAAGATTCCTGGGTCCTACTCTTGGAGATTCTGAATTATCTGGTATGAATAGATTTAAAAAGCCCTCTGCCCAGATGATTCTAATGTATAGTCAGGGTTGAAGGCCACTTCTTTATTTAAAAAAAGACACACACACACATTTTTTTTTTCTAAACATTATGCCGTAAGGGTAAGGCCGTTACTTTAAACTAGGTGAATTCACTTATTCCACAAATAGTGAGTGCTTATCATGTACCAGGCATTGTTATACGCCCTGGGAATACATCCATGAACAAAAGAGACAAATATCCCTACCATCATGGAGTACGATGTTTTAATGGGAAAGACAGACAATAAGGTAATAAGATATGTGTTATGTTAAATGACGATAAGTACAATGAAGAAAAAGAAAGTAAGGAAGGGAGATTGAGAATGCCAGAAGTGATGTGTGATCGAATTTGAATTAGGGTGGTCAAAGAAAGTTTCACAGAGAAAGGGACAATGAGGAAAACCTGTAAAAGGTTTCTGGTGTCAGCCATGCAAAAATCTGGAGAAAGAGATTCTTGGCAGAGGTCACAGCCAGAACAAAGATCTTGATTCAGGAGTGCGTTTGGTGTGTTCTAGGAAAAGAAGTCTAGTGTGGCTGGAGGGAAGTGAGTGAGGGGAAGAGAGGTAGAAGATGAGGTTAGAGAGTTCATGGGGTTAGTGACACCAGATTAGCAAGTTGCTTAGGGCCTTGTAGGCCATTGTAAGGATTAGGACTTTTAATTTGAGTGAGACAAAAAGACATTGGATGGGTTTAAGCAGAGGAGTGGTGTGATCTGAATTAAAAGGGATCACACTGGCTGTTGTGGGGAGGATAAATTATAGAGTAGCAAGCATGGAAAAAGGGAGGCTATGTCAGGGGTTGGGGAAGTATTATTTGTTTGAGTGTTCTTGAACTCTCCTGTTCTCTCACCTTGTTGGGTTAGGGGGAGGGGTGGGGTGGTTTGTGACCTAGGACTTTGTGCCTTTTGAAAAAGGGAAGTAACTAACACGTGACAGTGTGTGTAACATTTGCAGATGTGGCTTCTCTGGATCAAGAGCCAAACAAACCTGCCATAGCAATTTGAATTTCTTCCTCTTAAGCCTCTTATTCCACTTCAGATCCCCCTCCTGACCTATTCTTTGGGGATTCTTAGATACATTTCCATCCCCCATAGTGACCTAGGTCTCTTATCCAGCTTTATTTCCTGCTTTTGACAGAGGAAAAAGATAGACTTCTGAATTGATGTGAGTGGAGATCTTATTATAGTAGCCACCTATAAAATAGCAGGAGGTAGAGATGTTTAATGTGTAAAATGGTTGTTGTCCTGGAAAAAAATCAATACCATAAATGTGAATTTAATGGGATCCCTCAGGGAATGGGAGTCTGGGCAATGTAACATTTTAGTTAATTGAAAGGTAACCCACTTCTCACCTTTGTTTTTTTCCCTCTTTTCTTTAAATTAGCTCTTGTTTCTGAGTGTGACAATCAAAGTGTTTACTGTGTGCATGTAATGTGCCAGGCACTGTGCTAGGTGTTTTACACACAGAACCTTATGCAATCCCTGTAACAACTGATGATGTAGATGTTTTCTTTATTCCCATTTTAAAGTTGAGGAAACCGAGGCTTGGAGAAATTAAACCGCTCACCTGAGGTGTCTTAGCTGATAAATGCCCAAGCTAGTCTGTCTGATGCTGAGACGCAACCTCAGTGATCAGTGTCTTGCTCATCATGGACTCTATTGTGTTTAATTTCTGGACTTCAGACAGGGCTTTAGCATTATCCTGCTAGCCATCTTGGAAGACTGTTCTAGGTTAGAAATGGAGGCAGAGAGAGAGGGTCAGGAGCCTGGGCTATGTGATGGCAGCCTTGGGAATGGGGTCCATTTACTGTTATTACTTTTTAAAGTAAAAGTTTTAATATCAACCTGTTTTCTTGTTACTAGGTTCTTCTAATGGACTGCAGAAGAGCAGTGTTTAGTTAACTGATAACAGTGTTATGATGTTACTTTAAGCATCGAAGCTCCTTAATTTGGTATGCCCAGTTTTTATTTTTGGTGGGGGACAGGGTGCAAGGAAATCAATCGGAATTAGCTGTAAATCTGAAATCCAGACTGTTTTAAATAAGTGCAGTCTCGTTTCATTTTTTTCAGTCACATTTAGTAACATAATCTAATGCTAACAAAGTGTCAAAGTGAGGCCTATTTTAATAAATACATTAAAAAAGTCATTCACTGTTCTATGCAAATGAGTTCTTTCATAGTTTAAAAATGAGCCTACTCATTTGCTTAACAAAGCTGATTTTCCCAGATCAATGCACAATACCTTGATCTCAGCCCTGGTCTGAATTACTGCAAAATTTGAATGAGAAGTTCTGCGCTAGATAGTTTTTGTCTGCCTCTTCAGGTCCTCACTCCAGTCTTCCCTCCTGCACTCTACCCTGGGAAGCTGACCTGTAGGGATGACATCAAAAGTCTCCCTTTTCTTAGTCAGGCTATGATGGTAAAGGCATCTCCAAATCCTCTTCCTAGCCCTGAGTTACCCTGCCTACACCTTTATAAATAGTCCATTTATTAATATTGACCCTTACCCCTCTCCAAAATAGCCATTTTGAGTGTGCCATCTATTTCCTGCTGGGACACTGATTGATACAGGTTTTGAATTATGTCTATATCTTTATTTCATGTACAGGTCTGAGACTGTATATGAGGGTAATATGACCATAGTTCTAATTTGAATGTACAGAGCACCATACAAGTCCGGTGGTTTACTGGGGAGTGTCTAGGAACACAAAGGAAAAAGGAACAATCACAGACCTGTCCATCAGATTCCTGTGATGTGGGTTTCAATAATCTGAGTATAGATGGATAGATAATGACTGGGCAAAAGAAAGGACTAGAGTAAGGAGCGATATTGACTTGTCTGGATTTTTTACTTTCCTATCAAGATCCTCTGACTGGCATTGGATCTTGGGGATGGGGTTAAGGCAGGAGACCCCTATGGACTGGATTTAATGCCTACAACTCGTCCAAGGAGGAGGGTAGAAACACCTGGTACAGGTAAGAGGCTTAGGAAAGGAGTATGAGTCAAGAATATAACAACGTGACCCAGGAAAAAAACCAGATTATAAACTCTTTGAGGGAAGACATTTTGACTATCTTGCTTGATGCTATTCTCTAATTAGTACCCAGCCAATAGACTGGCAAATAGTAGGCATTCTATAAATATTTGAGTGAATAAATGAATGCAGGAAGACAGAAGAACATACAGACTTAATGCACAATGAAATTACAGGACTTCCCTAGGGAGAATCCCAGCCCAGGTATCAGGGCCAATGTTTAGGAATGAGAGTGATAATTTATTTCCCATGGATAGAAAAGCCCCAGCTGTGCACTGCACATAATCCTTTGGGCAAATTAGATTATTAGAATCAAGGACTAAAACCAGTGGTCAGTTTGCCCACTGCCAATTTTAAACAGAGAAGACTTTGAGCAAATGGGGATCTAATTTGAGGAAGGTTTTCTTGGTGCTTAAGTAGCTGTTTGAAAACATGGGGCTTTTTTTTTCTACTGAAAAAAAGTGCTCATATGGCCTCTGCTGTGTTCTGAATATTTGTGTTCCCGCAACAATTCATGTGTTGAAACCTAACTTCCATTGTGATAATATTAAGAGGAGGGCTTTTGGAAGGAGATTCATCCCATTCATGAAGGGATTAAGTGCCCTTATAAAAGAAACCCCAGAGAGCTAGCTAGTCTCTTACACCATGTGAGGACACAGCAAGAAGGTGCCATCTTTGAAGCAGAGAATGAGCCCTCACCAGACACTGGATCTGCTGGCACCTTGATCTTTGACTTCCCAGCCTCTGGAACTATGAGAAATAAATTTCTGTTCATAAGGTACCCATTTAATGGTATTTTGTTATAGCAGCCTTAATAGCCCAAGACAGCCTCTTTTCCTAGAAACACATAGAATATTATTTTCAGGCATTCTTGTCAAAGATAACAATAGAAGATCTAGTAGTGAATCAGCACATTATAGTTCTGTTGATGCTTCTGTTGCCAAGGCCAGTTGTTTTACTTAAGAATACAATGTGCAAGTAAGATGTTTTGGGGTTTTAAAAGTGAGTATGTGACGAGAGGATCTTCGCCTTAGCATTTTTCCTTCTACAGGCCTCTTGAAGACTTCCACCTGGTAATGATTGGCGGGAGGGGGGCACCTAAAGTCACACTCTGTGCTTTACATTAAGAAGGCAGTTTATAGTACTGGAGGACTGGATGTTTTGGATGCATCAGATAATTTATCTAGGAAGCCTTTTCAAATTCACAGGTATCACTATCTGTCTGTGCTCCCCCACCTCCGTGTTAATCAGAATCAGTTGGGAACACCAATTTAAACTGCATCAGTTTGGACCAGACTTCCCCCTTCCAAAGATCTGAAATGGGTGGTTTGACTGAATTTCAAGAAGCATGAACAATGGTTTGGAAGAAATGGAGTCAGTGAAGTTTAATGAGTCAACCAATGGTAACGAATTATGGTGATTCTAAGTGAATGCCCTCCTTTCTTCCCAACTGGCTGAACTTACAACATTTCAGGTCAGCCTTGGTGACTAGAGCCATTGAGAGAGAGCATCTTCATAGCCCTTATGAGCACCAGCTGACAAAAAAGAGGTCATGTCTTTCTTTTACACAATTTTAATGTAATCCTCACCAGCATTAGCGAAAATTGCTTTTTGGTGGCCAGAGGGAAGCAAAGAGCCCTTGACTATCTTAACATCCTGACAGCCTCAGTGAAAATGGAAAATTATTGTGATGGGAAGATTGGCTTCAGAGACTCTGACCGGGGCAGTAAGTTCAAATCAATTTTGATTAATCCATTTTCTTTGAAAATTGGTTGTGCAAAATGGTCAAGGTCAAAAAGAGACACTTCAGTTACTGAATCCCATTCACAGAGTGATTGCCCTGTCTTGTTCATGTAAAACACTAAATGTGCCATAATTTTGATAGGGAGGAGGTATTCAGAAAAGGAAAAGGAAGGTACAGAAGGGGAAGAGGCAGAAGAATTTACAGAGTGGGGTTAAAAGTAAAGGGGGAGGAGATAGAAAAAAGTGAGGGGTAAAAAAACAAATGTGAGGTGGGGGAAAAGGGGTTATAATTCAGCCCCAGCAGGGGATTGACAGAGCCACAAGGGCATGCTGAGAGCAAGTGCTGGAGAGCTTAGAACTAAAACCTAGATTAGGGGGAATAAAAAAATGGCGTAAAATCTAGCTTCTTGGGGAGAGGGCTAACAATCCAAACACCAAGTCCAAACGAAAAGGGAGCAAGTTTAATCTACTGGAGTCTGTGGGGCTTTTTGCCTATGGAAAGTATGACAGGAGTGCTGTCCTGGGGGATGTAAGGCAGAGATGGTGACAATAGCCATTTCTACACTGGTCTGCCTAGAAGTTCAGTCAGAACCCAGCCTAGCTTCAAGATTAATGTTGTGACGGTTGGGGCCTAGGGGAGACAGAAGCTGCTAGAGCCCTTGGGGCTTAGGTAGACATAGCATCAGTAGCTCAGCTGTCTCTGCTGCTTAGGAGGACTTCCTGCTAAGGGAGCTGCAGTGCTGCTGCATGCACCTCTGACAAGGGAGCTAAAAAGATAAAGAAGCTTTGCTCTGGCACTGAGTGATTCCCAATACCCTGGCAGCTGTGGAGGCCAGGCCTAAACAGTGCTGGCCCCTACTTCCCCCAAGTCTGCTGTGAGGGAGAGGTGCAACCTGTAGACCTCCCCTGAATATCAGGCTACATGCCTGAGCATAGGACAGGAAGAGGACTGTACTTGGAGGAGAGTGAGTCTAAGAGAAGAAACAAGGAGTAGGGAGTGAAGAAGAAAGGCTGGAAGAAAGCAAGCATGCAAGATGTCTTTGTCCATTTTCTGTTACTTACAGCAGAATACTTGAAACTGGGTTATTTATTTATTTTTTTGAGACGGAGTCTCACTCTGTCACCCAGGCTGGAGTGCAGTGGTGCCATCTCGGCTCACTGCAACCTCCAGCTCCCAGGTTTAAGTGATTTTCCTGCCTCAGCCTCCTGAGTAGCTGGGAATATGGGTGTGCGCCACCACACCCGGCTATTTTTTTTTTTTTTTAGTAGAGACGGGGTTTCACCATGTTGGCCAGGCTTGTCTCGAACTCCAGGGCTCAGGTGATACACCTGCCTTGGTCTCCCAAAGCGCTGGGATTACAGGCATGAGCCACTGCACCTGGGCGAAACTGGATAATTTATTTTAAAAATGGTACTTATTTCTTACAGTTATGAAGGCTGGGAAGTCCAAAGTTGAGGGACTGCTTCTGGTGAGAGACTTCTTGCTGATGGGAAATCTCCAAAGAGTCCTGAGGTAGCTCAGGGTATTGCATAGTTGAGGAGGACTGAGCATACTAATGTGCTAGCTCAGGTCTCTCTTTCTCTTCTTATAAAGTCATCAGTTCTACTCTCATAATAACACATTAATCTATTAACTCTTTAATTCATTAATCCATGAGTGTATTAATCCATCCATGAGGGCAGAGTCCTCATGATCCACTCAACTTTTAAAGACCCCACTTCTCAACACTGCCACATTGGGAGTTAATTTATTTATTTCCTTCCTTCCTTCCTTCCTTCCTTCCTTCCTTCCTTCCCTCCTTCCTTCCCTCCTTCCTTCCTTCCTTTTCTCTGTCTTTCCCTCCCCTCCCCTCCCATTCCCTCCTCTCTCCTTCCCTTCCCTTCCTTCTTCTTCCCTTCCCTTCCCTTGCTTTTTTCTTTCACTCTCCTCTTCCATTCCCTTCCTTTCCCTCTTTCAAGCAGAGTCTTGCCTTGTTGTCCAGGCTGGTCTCAAACTCCTGGGCTTATGTGATCCTCCCAGGGCCTTGCAAAGTGCTGGGATTACAGGCATGAGCCACTGTGCCCAGTCAGAAAATTAATTTTCAACATGAGTTTTGGAGGAGACGTTCAAGCCATACCACAAAGTGTCAGAGAAAGTTGTAGAATCCTAGATTCAGGAAATTGGAGGAAAGGAAAGATGGTAAGAGAAGGAAAGATCAAAGAGTTTGTCCTTTCTCATCTTCCCATCTTTGAACTTCTTAATTTCTGAAAGGCAGTCTTGTTCTCTAGTGATGATTTATGAACAGAAAGTTTTTGTGGATTATCTGCTAATTTGACCCTGAGTTATTTCTTTTGCCCTATGGTATGCTGCACATTGTAGTTGTAATTATTCCCCAAACTGTAACTGTTGCTCAGATACCATTCCTTGTGCTATGTCTAGGATTTTCTGGATCATGGTGGTGGTAATGATGGCACTGGAGTGCTGAAGACATCAAGTGAATGGTTTCGGGACCCTCATTCTTTCATATACATTAACCAGTCTCAACATGATCTAAGGAAGTAGGCTGCCAAGTTAGCCTGGCTCTGCCTATGTATGTGAGTTCCCAGCTGCTCCACTAATTAGGATCCTTTTAAAAGATGTGGCTACTGAGTTACCCTACTTTTCAAGGTAGTGAGGTGTGGCTGGCCTCCATCGCCAGAGGTGCTAGCTGTTTCTTGCAGAGCCCCAAGGGAGCCAGTTTTCAGTGGCTCTCTATTTGCTGTTTCTGAAAAGACCAGATACGTCTGTGTTCTGTGTTTTATGTGTTTCTTCTGGCCAACTGCTTGCAGAAGATTGTGAGGGCCAAACACTACAAATATTTGTCTGAGGCGGTTGTTATCCAGAATCTCTGATGTCAATGGAGGCAAAATTAATGCTAAAAGCACGAAGAGCCTCTCATTGACCTTTGGAACACATGTGGTTGTACTTGATTCATCCCACATGTTTGGTAACCATCCTGAGTTTACTGAAATGTTTAATAACATTTAAAGCTCTTTCTTAGTAGAAGGAAGAGATTGCTACCTTTTCCATTGGTAGTTAGCAAGCATGTTTCTGGGGCTATGTGGTATATTAAAAAGAACACTGGATTGAGGGTCAGGACACTGGTTCTATCAGGTATCAACTTAGTAAACCTGGATACCTGGGTCTCAATGTTCTCATCTGTAACACAAAAATGTTGGGCTAGAGCAGTGATTCCCAATTTTTTTTTTTGTTTGTTTTGTTTTAGATGGAGTCTCGCGTCTCGCTCTGTCGCCCAGGCTGGAATGCAGTGGCACAATGTCGGCTTACTGCAACCTCTGCCTCCCGGGTTCAAGTGATTCTCCTGTCTCAGTCTCCCGAGTAGCTGGAACTACAGGTGTACATCACCACACCTGACTAATTTTTTTTTTTTTTTTTTTTGAGAGGGAGTCTTGCTCTGTCGCCCAGGCTGGAATGCAATGGCGCGATCTCGGCTCACTGCAAGCTCCACCTCCCGGGTTCACGCCATTCTCCTGCCTCAGCCTCCCGAGTAGCTGGGATTACAGGTGCCCGCCACCATGCCTGGCTAATTTTTTGTATTTTTAGTAGAGACGGGGTTCCACCGTGTTAGCCAGGATGTTCTCGATCTCCTGACCTCGTGATCCTCCCGCCTCGGCCTCCCAAAGTGCTGGGATTACAGGAATGAGCCACTGCACCCAGCCCTAATTTTTGTATTTTTAGTAGAAACGGGGTTTCCCCATATTGGTCAGGCTGGTCTAGAACTCCTGACCTCAGGTGATCCACCCATCTTGGCCTCCCAAAGTGCTGGGATTACAGGCGTGAGCCACTGCGCCTGGCCTATTTCTCAATCTTTTACATGCATTGGAATCACCTGGAGGGCTTCTTCAATCACTGATTCCTGGGTCCATCCCTCAGAGTTTCTGATTCACAAGGTGGAGCCTGAGAATTCTCATTTCCATAAATTCCCAGATAATGCTGATGTGGCTGGTCTGGAGATCATACTTTGAGAACCACTGTACTAGTCTCACCAAGACTGTCCCTTTCTGAAATGTTGGGGTTTTGTAATTACATACAGAATGTAGCATAGTGAGGAATAGTCAGAGTCAGTCTTTTAGCTAGAGTTAGAGGTAGCATCTAGTGTGGCTAAAGGGGCACAGAAAATTAGCTCCTTTCCCTGCCTGCCATGGGCCTGAAATCCTTACCACACATCTCTTGCTTGGCTTAAGGTTCCCGTTAGAATGTAAATCTATTACCTGGGAAGAGAAGGCATTATGCCACCATTAGTCATTCGTTTACTGAATCTACTCTTGTCACTCAGCAGGGCCTGAAGGACTGGGACATAGGACAAACAAGCTTCAACTAGGTAAGACAAGGGCTAGAGCAAGATGAGTGTTATGTATCTATCCATAAGGACTAAGTATAAAAATTATTTTTAAAAAATACTTGCTTCTGGGAGAGGTTGTGTGTGGGCTACCATGGAAGTTAGAAACTCCTGGGGGCTACAATCCAAGGGGGACTCCCACCAGGTTCTCAAGGTGAGGATCATAGAAAGGTGCCCTCTTGGCCTTAGCTGGGGAGGGGAAGAGAAGCCACTGTAACACATGTCTGAAGCCTGTTCCATAACAGAGGCTTCCTCTCTCTAAGGGGAAAAATCTTTACCATTGGGTAATATTGAAACATTATCCCACTTGGGAGAGTTTCATCTACCAACATTTGGTGTTGTCCGCCTTCTTAATTTTAGCCATTCTGGTAGGTATGGAGTGATATTTCATTGTGGTTTTAATCTGCATTTCTTTGTTGAGAATCTTTTCATGGGCTTACTGGCCACTGTTATATCTTCTTTTGTGAAGTGTCTATTCAAATATTTTGTCCATGTCTTAATTTATTTTTTGTCTTATTATTGAGTTGTGTTTTTTATATACTCTAGATGAATGTCCTTTGTCAGATGTATGTATTGCAAATATTTTCTTTCATTCTATGGCTTAATTATTTTATTTTCTTAATGAGGTCTTTTGAAGAAAATATTTAAATTTTGATGAAGTCCAATTTAACCGTTTAGAAACTTTTTACACTAATTGAAAGAGGAATACCTGTATTTGATTAAAAATTCAAACATTAAAGAATGATAACGAAACTCTTATTTGTATATGTTTTTACGTACTAAAGTTTTAAATTCTATGTAGATGAATTTGTCAATATTTTTCTTAATGTTTTCTAGTTTTTTTTAAAGTAATTAGGCCTTCTGTATTACAAATCATCTTTTAAAAAACTGGGGTCTTTTGTAGTTTTATTTTATTATGTTTGATAAATCTGGCATTAATTTTAGTATAAGAAGTGAGATAGAGACCAGCTTAACTTTTTTTCCCAAATAGCCTTCCAGTTGCCCCAAGATTCTTTACTAAATTATTTATTTTCCCATTATTAATTTGAAATATTACATAATTTATCACTTATCAAATTCCCATATGTAGGTGAAAACTCCACAATTTCATTTATTACACCCCATCTCTCTTTTCCATCCCTCTGATCCCACACGCACACACAAAAATCCCTTCTAGGCACATCTCTCCAAAAGGCAGACTAATCATATACTTGAATCACTGGCCTAGCGGGGACCGATAAGAAAATGTGAGAGAGACTCATATGCATGTATCTACACACGCACACACATGCACTGACAAGCTTTGATGATCTCAATCAACATTTTGTGAAAAAACATGTAGAAATAAGGGGCCAGGCGCAGTGGCTCACGTCTATAATCCCAGCACTTTGGGAGGCCGAAGCGGGTGGATCACCTGAGGTCAGGAGTTCGAGACCAGCCTGGCCAAAATGATAAAACCCCATCTCTACTAAAAATACAAAAAATTAGCCAGGTGTGGTGGCGGGCACCTGTAATCCTAGCTACTCGGGAGGCTGAGGCAGGAGAATCGATTGAACCTGGGAGGCGGAGGTTGCGGTGAGCCGAGATCACGCCATTGCATTCCAGTCTGTGCAACAAGAGCAAAACTCTAAAAAATAAAAATAAAAAATTTTAGAAATATAGGACAGCTAAAGTTAAAAATACTGACAATTCCAAGTACTGGAAAGGATATGGAGAAATGGAATCACTCATATATTGCTGGTAGCAATGTAAAATAGTACTGCCACTCTAGGAAACAGTTTCTTTAGAAAACTAAACATTCAATTATCATTTACCCAGCAATTTCATTTTCGGCATTTATCCCACAGAAATGAAGAAATTACAGCCACATACATAGTTGTTCATTGCAGCTTTATTTGTAATAGCTGAAAACTGGTACATCCGTACTATGGAAAACTACTCAGCAACAAAAAGGAATGAACTATTGATACACTCAACTTGAATAGATCTCAAGAGCATTAAAAAGAATGTTATATAAATAAATCATATAGCGTGAAAGGTCATATGCTGTATGACTGATTTATATAACATTCTTAAAATGACAAAATTATAGAAATAAAGAGCAGATTAGTGGTTGCCAGAGGTTAGGGATAGCAGAAAGAGGTTGGTAGGTATGACTTTAAAGAGATGTCAGGAGGGAGATCTTCGTGGTGATGGAATAGTTCTGTATCTTGATTGTGGTGGTGGTTATACTCATGTACATGTGATAAAATGACAAAGAACCTTACATACACTTTATACCAGTGTATATTTCTTGGCTTTGATATTGTACTGTACTTACCTAAGATGTAACCATTGTGGGAAATCAGGTAAATGATACATAGAACCTCTTTGTGCCACCTTTTGAACTTCTTTTGAATCTATATTTTGAAATAAAAGTTTAAAATGATCTAGAAAAATTACTTGAATTTTAGTACGCATGTAAATGTTGTATCATTTTGAAAATTAAGATGTTATGTTGAGTAACATGAGATGGGTGCATGGGTAGAGTGTACTATTTTCAGTATTTAGGGCCTCTAAAGGACTAAATCTGGCCCTGCCTGCCCTCCTCAGAAGTATTTTACCCTCTGGCCCTTTCTCTCTCAATTAAAGCCAATCTTCTGTGTATCTTCTGTCGTGATGTGTGCAGGCACTTGGCCTCAGGAAAGGTAGCTGAGGAGCTCTGTATACCAGCTGGGATGGAAAAGTCTGTCATTCAGTATGGGGAGGTCTGGCAAGTGGTAATCAGGAGCCTCAACAGGCATGATGGCAGAGCTGGGTCAGGGGTTGGGGCAGGGATTCTAATTCCAACAGTAGGCAGAAACCTAGAGAGTGAAGCAATGTCAGGAAAATCTGGCAGCCAGTAAACAGCAAGAACCTGAAAACAGAGCTAGATTTATGGCTCACAGTCCTAGGCCTAGGCAAGGAAAGTCAAGAGTAAGGCTGGGCAGAGATACACTTTAAGGATTAAGAACAAAAGCTATGGAGGCCAGGCAAGGTGGCTTATGCCTGTAATCCTAGCACTTTGGGAGCCTGAGGCGGGAGGATTGCTTGAGCCCAGGAGTTCGAGATAAGCCTGGGCAACATAGCAAAACCCTGTCTCTATAAAAAAAGTACAAAAAATTAGTCAGTCTTGGTGGCACAGACCTGTGGTCCTAGCTACTTGGGAGGCTGAGGTGGGAGGATCACCTGAGCCTGGGAGGTCAAGGCTGCAGTGAGCTGTGATTGTGCCACTGCATTTCAACCTGGGTGACAGAGTGAGACCTATCAGCTCCTTTATCTAGTAGTTATGTCATCTTAGGCAAGAGACTTACCTCTTGGCACCTCAGTTTTCCCATCCATAAATAGGAAAAACAATAGCATCTACTACTTCATATGGTTTTTCTGAGGATTAAATAGGATGATGTATCTAAAGTGCCTAGAATAAGGTGTGGCACATTGTAAGTGCCCCTAAAGGTTAGTTGATGTCATTACTTTTGTCACCCATCCTTTATTTATTTGTCCACTTGACAAATATTCTTTGAGCACCTACTGTGTGCCAGTACTGTTGTAAGCACTAGGACTATGGCATTGAACAGGATAAATACAGTTCCTATCCTTACAGAGCTTGTACTTCAGTTGAGAGGAGAAAGGCATTAAACAAAGAGACATATGACATAAAAATTAAGAAGTGAAGTTTGCTATGACAAAAACTAAAGCAAGATAAGGAGATGGGGAATGATTGGGTTTTATTTTATTTTTATTCTTTTAAACCTTTTATTTAGAAATAATATCAAACAGAAAAGTCATAAGAATAAAAATACCCATATACTCTTTACTTAGTCTCTCCTCTCTTTCTCTATATGTGTATGTATGTATATATGCACATATATTCCTGAACTGTATGAGAGTAATGTATATATCATCATGGACTCTTAATACTTCAATGTGTATTTCCTTAGAATAATGATATTCTCTTACATAAGCATGGTATAATTATCAACTTCAGTAAATGTAATGCAGATACAGTATTTTATCTAATCTACTGACTCTATGGCAATGTTTCCAATTTACTAAATAGTATTCTTCTTAGCATTATTTGCCCCTCCAGCATAGGATGCAATCTAGAGTCAGGTATTGCCTTTGGCTATGTCTCTTTCACCTCTTTTAATCTGGAACATTTCCATAGCTTTTGCCTTTTATGACACTGATACTTTTGAAGAATAAGATCTTTTTTTAAAATAATAGAACACTCCAAGGCTGGGCGCAGTGGCTGACACCTGTAATCCTACCACTTTGGGAGGCCGAGGTGGGCGGATTGCCTGAGCTCAGGAGTTCGAGACCAGCCTGGGCAACACAGTGAAAACCCGTCTCTACTAAAATACAAAAGAAATTAGCTGGGCATGGTGGCGGGCACCTGTAGTCCCAGCTACTCGGGAGGCTGAGGCAGGAGAATTGCTTGAACCTGGGAGGTGGAGATTGCAGTGAGCCGAGATGGCGCCACTGCACTCCAGCCTGGGCAATAGAGCGGGACTCCGTCTCCAAAAAAAAAAAAAAATTGGACACTCCTTATTTTGGGTTTTTTGATGGTTCCTCATGGTTAGATTGAGGTTATGTGTCCCTGTTTGGAAAACTACATAAGTGGTGCTGTGTCCATCTCAGTACATCACAGAGGTCCTTGATATCCATCTGCCCCTTTGATAATGCTAACGTTGACCATCTTTTCAAAAAGTGTTTTCCAATTTCTCTACTGTGTGCTTACAGTTTTTTCCCTTGAAAGTAATAAGCAGTCTGTGAGAATAGTGTTCCAGGCAGGGGGCCTAGTAAGTATAAAGGTCCTGAATCAGGAACATGCCTGGAGTATTGGAGACACAGCATGGAAGCTGGTAAGGCTGAAGCAGAGTGAATGAGGGTGAGACCAGAAGGAGTTAGAGGTCAGAGGAATATGAGGTGGCAGACTGTGAGGGCTTTAGACACCATTGTAAGAAATCTGGCTTTATTCTTACCAAAGTGGGAAGCTACTCAAGGTTGAAAAGGAGCAGCTTGTCATTTTTTGTTATTATTATTATTATTTAAGGGTTCCAAGTTTAGAGAAGCTAGGTCTCAGTGAAGCAACTTGTTCCCAGAGAACAGACATTTCTCAATTATTAGATTAGATAAATTAGATGAATCAAAACACACGACAGCACTCTAGACTAATGGTGATGGTAAAATTGCTCATATAAGTGAAATCTCAGACTGTGAGTCTACAGATGTCAATATCTTAGATACGACTTTTCAAACTTAAGAACCTATGAGGGAATAGTATATGTCCAAGTACAAAAAGGAAATATGGCATTCTTATCCAGTTAGTCATTCAACAGGAAGGACTTCATCAGGCAATATTTGGTTACAGGAACCTGAGCCATCCTGTTTTGCTAAAAGGATGTATGACTTTTATGTTTCTACATGAAAATTTACTTGATATAGTTTATAAGTGGACAAATGCTGAAAGCAGATGTGTATCCAAAGATGACTAGAAAGAAAAGGATGATGTAGAAATGAAAAACAAAACATCATTGAATCAGTCATCTGAATTGGTTTTTGGGAATCTAAATATGAAAATATTTTGCAGTTATTGAGCAAAGACGATGGCCATTCTTCTTTCAGCAAAATTATGAGCTGCCAAAGTTTTCAATCTTGGCATTATCAATTAATTAATTTATTTTATTTTATTACTTCTATTTTTTTGAGTCAGAGTCTCACTCTGTCACCCAGGCTGGAGTGCAGTGGCACAGTCTTGGCTCACTGCAACCTCCGCCTCCTGGGTTCAAGGGATTCTCATGCCTCAGCCTCCCGAGTAGCTGGGACTACAGGCGTGCACCATCATGCCCAGCTAATTTATATATTTTTAGTAGAGATGGGGTTTCACCATGTTGGCCAGGCTGGTCTCGAACTCCTGACCTCAAGTGTTCTTCCTGCCTCGACCTCCCAAAGTGCTGTAATTACAGGCATGAGCCACTGCACTGGGCCCTTTGAGGCTGATGAAAGCTCCAGGATCAGAATTAGGGGGAGGGGTAAGGTCATGCTGCCCAGTGGTTACGTGCATGATTGCTGGGCTAAAGACTGCTATGCTGAGGGAGCCCGGGAAAAAACCCTGGACATGATGGAGACATCGCTAGGGCCGGAATGGCTGAGGCATTCCCATTCCTTTGGCTTTGACTCTATTTCATATGGAGCACCAGATGTCTGGCCAAAGGATGTCATGCCTCTTCCCTTGCCTAGTGTGTGTTGTCTGCCATCTGCATGGCATTTGAAATACACTTGGGGTTTTGCTTAAGAATCCAAAGAAGGCATTTATTTTAATCAGAAATTGTTTCCCATTCTTACTGAATATAAAAATAATAAAATTGTAAGTATATAAACATGGACAAGCAACAGTCACCCTCCCCACTTCCACTCTCCAGAGATGACCGCGGTTAAGTTTGGTACCTATTCCTCCAGATGTTCTGCCTACCAGTACTCAGGTCAGCTGTGTTTTATGCAAGGAATGTGTTCCTGAGGGCACCACATAATTAGATATTTGCGTAATTCAAAACCAGCCTTGACAAAGGAAGGGCAGAATTTCTGTTTGTCAGCTAAACTGGTGCCACCATGTGGCAATAGTGTAAACATGACTTACAGTTCACTTAGACTTCCAACTTTGAAATTATGTGATTCTTAGTGACATTTTAATTTGGGAGGACTTGCATTATTTCAAACGTTGTACATATACTGAAGCTAAAATATTTTATATCACAATATTTCAAATTCTTAAAATTCCAATTTATTTAAAATGTGTTAATTTTAAAATGGTATCATATTACTAAAGTTTTTCTAAAACTTGCTTTCTAAAATTCAGATAACCATATATTTTGGGCATTCTCCCATGTCAGCAAATGTACTTTTGTTTCTTTCTTTTTAAGGGCTGTGGATCATTCTGGTGTAGCAGTGCATCCTAATTCATTTAACTAAGTCTCTATATTGATGGATAGTTCTTCCCAGGGATAAGGTCTCCTTCTTCTGTCTTTCTGTCATCAGATTTGTCTTCAGTTTCAGGGCCCTCAACAAATCTATGTAGTTCTCAGTGCCAGAGACTTGTGGCCAGAGAAAATCAAACTTCTGTCTCTTGGCAACCATTCAAGCAGTGACCCTGAGCCCTGACCAAGTGCCCCAGAAGTCACTTGCTTTTTTCTGCACTAAACACACTTGGCATTGTCACTGAACTGACCTGGTCTGATGTTGTAGGATGGATTCTGTGGAAGTAGTTGCTGAAACAGAGTTTGAAATGTAAGCTATTTATTAGGAATGTAACACACAGCCAACAGATATTAAATTATTGGAATTCAGGGGCTCAATTTGAGTTAAGGGGTTCACTTTGAGTTAAGTGTTTCTGTCCATATTCCCTTAAGAGCAAAGTGTGTCAAGAGAACTGGGTGGGGTTTTTAGTTGGTTTGTTGGTGGTTGGCCTTTTACTTTTTGGTTAGAATACAAATTAGATTCAAGAATGCTCCATACCTGGAGGCTCTGACACAGTATGGAATTCCAAGCTTTATGGGTCATTATGGCTATAATCAACCTATACAATAGTCTTCAGAGTGACTTTCTCAAGCTTTTTTCCTCGTGTCTGAAGGCTTCAGTTAGGCAGCTTTTAATGTGAGGAACTTCACTTCCTCCTATCTTTTCCATAGCATTAATTATCTATTCTGGAAACTTCTGCTCTAAAAACAGATGTTACTCCAGGAACTTCTCTAAGTTTTACTCATTAGTGAAAAGCATTGTACAGAACCTTTTGGGGAGGGGAAAGGAAAATGACTGCCGCCATCTAGCTTGACCCTTCCTCAGTCCTCACTTCCCTGGTTGAGACAAGTAGGGCTCAATAATGTCTGTCTTCTCCTCTTCTTCCTGAGTATACCACCAGATGGCATTTCTCTGCCCCCTTGCTCCTAGATGGGGCTGTATTACAGTTCTTGTCAGTGGAATGTGAGCCAAAATGATGAGTGCCACTTCTAGGCCTGGCACATGAACCTGCCAGAAAAAGAGGATCCAGTGGAAGACCCAGAGACCCTAAAAGATGGCAGAAGCCACATGATGGAAAGAGCATGGATATGTGAATGACTGCATGGTGCAAAGCCATCCACGCCACTCCATGTTCCATATTAGACTATAGCATGTGTGAGAAATAAACCATTAAGCCATTTCGTGTTAAGCCACTGAGATTTCTTTTAGAGCAATCTGCTAATAATCAGCCTCAACTAATAATTTCAGACCTGCTTCTCCTTATTGGATCAGGAATGAGCACCTGCTACTTCAAGGACAGTAATCTCCTCACTGGCTAGTGACCCCATGGCCTAGCATGCAATATGAACTGGCACAATCAGATTTCTTCCTTCACGAAGAGCCTCAACTTGAAGTAAATGTAGTTGGATAGGAATCTCAGTCCATATTATGTAACTTATTATAAAATGTAACGTATTTGTTTCCTATATCTGTTTTCAGTTTCCATTTGGCCAGTTGGCAGAAACTTAATTTCCGTCATTTTAAATTTCAGTTAGTTCAGGGTTTCCTTAGTGAATTCAGAGTGCCAACCTCCTCCTTCCCAGCTGCAGATGGCATCTATGTTTGTGGTGTTTTCACTTTCTACTGTGGTAGAAAGCCATCCACTGTTAGATTATTGTCCTGAGCGCCAAGTCTTCCTGATTTCAGCTCTCTCTCAGCTATTTCCTTGCTCCTCTGTACCCAGAGGGGTACATCTGACTGCTCCTAACACCACTGTTGCGAAGTTCCATGAGGCTATCTCAGTTCCTTTGCATAGATATGTGACACAACCATCTCTATTGCTCCTTTTGCATATTGGTGAGGGATAACTCTGCAGGGCTTTCCACTTCTCTGGGCTCCATCTAAGAAGTTAGGCACATGTCCAGTTTATTTTTGAACCCCGCCCCCAGCCTATTCATTTGGTTTTATGATTGTCCCCAAGAAATTGGCTCAGGCTTGTAGGGCACAGGGATTCCCACTAACATATAATGATTTTGCTTCTCATCTGCTTCATTTTCTCTGTCGCCCAAGGAGCCCTCTGGTATGAGTGGGAGGAACGGGAAAACAGTAATGATAACAGGAAATAATGGGATAGGAACTATTATGATTAATATGTTAATATCATTCTGCTTCCACAAAAAAAATCTGCTATCTGGTAACATAACAGAAAGAATCAGACTGAAGAGTAGAACTGAGTTGGGTTAATGATGGAACACTAGCATATAGGTCCAGAGCCAGCTAGGGCCCCAAATCGCATTGTGGTTCCAGCTTAGTGAGGTTCAACCCTCCCTGTACTTACAGTCTTGGATTTCTGTTATTATTAATTTGAGCAATTTCCAGGGAAGCTCTCACTAAAATGTGTCCACTCAGTTTCCTAAGCTGGAAGCCTTGGAGTCTTCCTAGGATTACTGCAAGTTTCCACAGATGACTATCTTGATATGAAAATAGAGATCATATTAACAGCAATAACTCACACTTTTTTTTTTTTTTTTTTTTTTTTTTTTTGAGACGGAGTCTCGCTCTGTCGCCCAGGCCGGACTGCGGACTGCAGTGGCGCAATCTCGGCTCACTGCAAGCTCCGCCTCCCGGGTTCACGCCATTCTCCTGCCTCAGCCTCCCGAGTAGCTGGGACTACAGGCGCCCGCCACCGCGCCCGGCTAATTTTTTGTATTTTTAGTAGAGACGGGGTTTCACCTTGTTAGCCAGGATGGTCTCGATCTCCTGACCTCATGATCCACCCGCCTCGGCCTCCCAAAGTGCTGGGATTACAGGCGTGAGCCACCGCGCCCGGCCAATAACTCACACTTCTTAACACAGGACCCAGGAAACTGATGCTTGGCTATATTAGTTTATTAGGTATACCTAGACATATCTGTATCCCAGTCTATGTTCACCCTAAATGTCCCCACCCCATGCAGATATACACAAATGACTCCCCTCTTCCGTCTTTGATATTCAGTAAGTCATCAAGTCTTTTTTGTTCTACTCCCTTAATATTGTTTGAACCTGTCCCGTCGACTCAGTCTCCATCCTCAGTGCACTGTCTTAGGTGTGGTCCTCATTTCTCACCTGGTTTACTGGAACACCTCTCAACTGATTTCCCTCACCTGTCTGATATCTTCTCAATCACTTGTCCTCCACATGGTAACCAGAGTAATTTTCTTTTAGAAATGTAAAGACATCTGATCATGCATCTCTCTATCTTTCAATGGCTTCTTATTTCCCTCTGTGTAAACTCCAAACTGTTCACGTTACCATACAGGGTCCTGCATAATCTGGCTGCTCTCCAGTATCACGTACCACCACTCCCTGACACACCCACCTTCATGCCTGTCATGTGGAACTCTTTGTAGTTTCCTGATTGATGCAGCTTCATACCTTGGGGCTTTTGCACGTGCTGCGTCTTCAGAGGGTTTTCCCTGCCCAAGCCACACCCCAGATGAATTACATCACAATCTCTTGATGGGGTGGGGAGATATTGGTGTGTGTTAAAGCTCCATGGGTGCTTACACTGTGCATTCAAGTTTGAGAATCAGCACTTTAAACTGCAAGTTAAGCATCACTTTCTCCGAGAAACATTCCTTGAACCCCCAGCCTGATCAAGTTGTTCCTTCTCTCTGCTTCCATAATACCATCTGTGGCTTTCTACCATAATGGCGATCATTCTGTATAGAAATTGTTGATTTCCTCATCTGTCTCTGTTATACTTTAAACTCCTTGAGGGCGTGGACCATGTCTTAAATGTCTTCGTATCCCAAGGGCATAGCATGATGCCTAGCACAAAGTGGGCACAATAAATAAATATACGTGTTTATGAAATGTTATTGAAAAAATTTATAGACCATCTGCTATATTCCAGGCATGATGCTAGCAGGTTTTTATGTTACCTCATTTAATCTTCACAACAATCCTAATAAATATAGATTATCCCAGTGTTATAAGTGAGGAAAAAAGAATCAGAAAAGTTAAGTGATGTGTCCAGTTACACAGCCAAGATCTAAGATTTAATCCCAGATCTTTTAGCTCCAAAATTAGTGTTTCTTTCTACTTATGGCTGGCAGAAAATAATGCTTGGTAGCTCCATGTCACTTATATTAGTTTTCTATTATTGCATAACAAATTACCATAAACCTAGCAGCAAAAAACAGCATGTGCTTATTAGCTCATAGTTCTTTAGGCCAGAAGTCTGGGTACAGTGTGGCTCAGCTTGTTCCTCTGCTCAGAATCTCATGGGGTAAAATCAAGGTTTCAGCCAGGCTGAGTTCTTATCTAGGAGCTCTGAGGAAAAATCTGTTTCAGTGCTGATTCAGGTTGCTGGCAAAATTCTGTTCCTTTCTGTTCTAATACTGAGGTCCCTGTTTCCTTGCTGTCTGTCAGTGGGGGACTGCTCTCAGCTCCTGGAGTGTTTTCTTATCAAATGGTCCCCTTCCACCCTCAAGCTAGCAACAGCATGTCGACTTCTTGTGTTTTATTTTTTTTTCTTTTAAATTTGTTTTTGTCTTTTTTTTTTTGAAGCAGAGTCTAGCTCTGTCGCCAGGCTGGAGTGCAGTGGCACGATCTCGGCTCACTACAACCTCCGCCTCCTGGGTTCAAGCAATTCTCCTGCCTCAGCCTCCTGAGTAGCTGGGATTATAGGCACGTGCCACCATGCCCAGCTAATTTTTGTATTTTTAGTAGAGATGGGGTTTCACCATGTTGGCCAGGCTGGTCTCAATCTCCTGACCTCGTGATCTGCCCACCTTGGCCTCTCAAAGTGAAATTTTTTTATTTTTAATTTCTGTGGGTATGTAGTAGGTATATATATTCATAGAGTACATGAGATATTTTGATATAGGCAAACAATGTGTATCTTCTTGTGTTTTAAATCTCAGACCTAAAGGGCTCATGTGATAGGTCATGCTCATTCAGATAGTCTCCCTATTTTAAGGTCAACTAATTTGGAACTTGAATTATATCGGGAAAATCCCTTTACGGCTTCACTTAATGTTGGATTGAATAATTGGGAGAAGGTGTGTGTACACTAGGGGCCCAAATCTCAGAGATCTTTGTAGAATTTTGCTGCCATTGTCTGAATGTCTGTGTCCCCTCCAAAATTCATGTTAGAACTTAATCCCCAATGATATCATATTAGGAGCTGAGGCCTTTAGGTGGTGACTAGGCCATAAGGGGTCTGCCCTCATAGATAGGATTAGTGCTTTATAAAAGGGCTAGAGAGATCTAGTTATTATTTTACCCTTCCATCCCTTCCACCATATGAGGAAAGAGAATTAAAGTTGCTATCTTGGACGTAGAGACCAGGCCCTCACCAAACACCAAACCTGCCTACACCTTGATCTTGGACTTCCTGGCTTCCAGAACTGTGAGAAATACATTTTTATTATTTATGAATTGCCCAGTTTGTAGTATTCTGTTGTAGCAGCGCAAACAGACTAAGACATCTGTGTACCACACTGCCTTATGCTTTAGAAAGCTTTGTCTTCACATATTATTTCATTTTATCTTTTTCGATAACCATATTACATACGCAGGATTATGTTATGACCACTTTTTAACACATATGAGGAAGTTGGAGCAATAAAAAGCAGCTAAGTAATGACAGAAAGAGAATTGAAACCCTTTCTCATTCAATGCTCTTTTAATGCCACATCCATCATTGCTTTAAAAAAATACTAATCTAATTTGGATATAATAGAAATGAAGAACAATTTTAGAGTCTTATGGAAGTAGGTTTGCTCCAAGGTAAGAAGACATGATACCCACTGTATTCTAATCCATTTGTATAAAAATTCACATTAAAGAAGAATTAGTGATGTTATAAAAATAGTTTACAGTGGGGCCCTTTACATTGTACTCATTATCACCCCTGTGTGCTTAGTGAACAATGATGACAACTAAACTTTTGTGTTAGTGTTCTCACACTGCTATAAGGACATAACCGAGACTGGGTAATTTATAAAGGAAAGAGGTTTAATTTACTCACAGTTCAACATGGCCTGTGGGGAGGCCTCAGGAAACTTACAATCATGGCAGAAGGGGAAGCAAACATGTCCTTCTTCACAGGGTGGCAGGAAGGAGAAGAATGAGAGTTGAGCAAAGTGGGAAGCCCCTTATAAAATAATCAGACCTTGTGAGAACTTAGTGTCAAGAGAATAGCATGGGGGAAACCACCCCCATAATTCAATTACCTCCCACTGGGTCCCTCCCATGACACGTGGGGTTTATGGGAACTACAGTTCAAGATGAGATTTAGGTGGGGAAACAGCCAAACCATATCGCCTTTATTAATGTTTTACAGTTTGTAAGGTATCTCTACCCACGTTTTATTTGATTTTGTGCCCACCATCAATTAAATTTATTGTAATAAATGCTTGTACATGTAAAAGTGATTTAGGAAAGTCATTTGAATTAGAATTTAAATTGGCTTCTATCATAAAAATTTGATCAGGAGTGTCCTTTGGTGAAAAGTGAGGTGTGCCCATAGAAGGTTTGTGTGTGTAGTTACAGAGACATGCAGTTGATTCTGTAAGCAAATGTAAACCTATGCCTGGGTCTTTTCTATGTAATTGCCCTGGCTTATTTGAAGTCAGATTGACAGAGTAAACCATAGGCAGAGGTGGTATAGCAGGACATATATGTATGCCACTGTGTGTGTGTGGTAGGAACACACAGGAAGGCACTAAAGAGGGTGAGAAGGAAAGTCTCAGAGTGAAAGACCAAGATGTAGAGACTACTTAAGTGTTTTGTGGCAATGGGCATGGATTCTCCATTTGCTGACTCTAATGGGAAAGTTAGTTCTTTCATACCTAATCCACACCTGCCACCTCCCTTTCCCATCTCTGATAGCTCAACCACCTAAAGGATAGGCGGTGGCAGCTTGAAAGGAAGGTGTTTCTACACTACTGAGAACTCTGTGTCTCTTTCCTATCTCTCAGAGAGGCCATCAATATAAACAGACTCATGGGCTGCAAGGGGACAGGTTCTAGGCTTCTGCATTCCACTCCAAAAGCAGTGGCATGTATTGACAAAGGCTTCTTATTACTGAGACAATTTGATTATAGGTGGTAGGGGAAAAGTCGTTGCATTTCTTGGGACTAAAAATGTATTTGTGGGAGCATTTTCAAGATATCTACTTAAAAGGAAGGGAGAGAACTGGAAAATCTCTGAGTAGGGTTTCAGAATTGCTGATCTGTATGTAATCATTTGGGCTAAAAGAGCTAGCTATCTATGCTACCAAGGTAGAAATATGTGCTTTGGGGATGATACTAAGAGTGAGATTCTCCTCCTGAGAAATGAATTGGGTGCTGGGTAATCGCCTCAGATGTGAACTTTGGAGGAAGAAATTCCTTCCTCTTTATACTGCTTGATAACAGAACAATAGTTCTCTTTCTTTCTTTCTTCTTTCTTTCTTTTCTTTCTTTCTTTCTTTCTTTCTTTCTTTCTTTCTTTCTTTCTTTCTTTCTTTCTTCTTTCTTCTTTTCCTTCCTTCTCTTCTCTTCTCTTTTCTTTCCTTCTTTCTTTCACACAGGGTTTCACCATGTTGCCCAGGCTAGCCTTGAACTCCTGGACTCAAGTTTTCCACTCACCTTGGCCTCCCAAAGTGCTGGGAATACAGGCATGCACCACCATGCCAGGCCGGAACAATAGTTTTAACACACTTATTTGCAATCTTGACTTTCTATCATGTCAGTCAGACAGGCCACAAAGCTACTATCAGAAATTTCTGAGAAAGCAATCCTTTTTAAAAATTCAACTAATTTACAAACTTTTCTTCCTATGGTCAAGTAGACTAGAAAATAAAATGCTTATTCACAATAGCAAAGACATGGAATCAACCTAAATGCCCATCAATGATATACTGGATAAAGAAAATGTGGCACATGTACACCATGGAATGCTATGCAGCCATAAAAAGGAATGAGATTATGTTCTTTGCAGGGACATGCATGGAGCTGGAAGCCATTATCCTCAGCAGACTAATGCAGGAACAGAAAACCAAACACCACATGTTCCCATTTATAAGTGGGAGCTGAATGGTGAGAACACATGGATGCATGAGGGGAACAACACACATTGGGGTTTGTTGGGGGGAACAGGGGGAGGGAGGGCATCAGGATGAATAGGTAATGGATGCTGGGCTTAATACCTAGGTGATGGAATGATATGTGCAGCAAGCCACCATGGCACATGTTTACCTATGTAACAAACCTGCACATCCTGCACATGTACCTCTGAACTTAAAATAAAAGTTGAGGGAAAAAAAAGAAAATGCTTTTCTTTTCAGACGTACACACACACACACACACACACACACACACACACACATAATTAAAGACAAGTCAAATTATATTTCTTCTTTTGGTCCTGACATTACGGATTAAGTGGTTAAGTATATGAGCTTTGTAGTCAGACAGACCTGGATTTGGTCCCAGTTCTATCAATGAATAGCAGGGTGATCTCTGGCAAATCATTTTGCCTTTCTGGGCCTTAAGTCTTTTCACCCATAAAGTAGGGGATAATACTAATACTTGCCTTATAGGGTTATATTGAGAATTAAATGGGATAATAAATTTAAAGTATATAGTACAGTGACTGAAACATAATATTCAATAAATTTTAGCTATTATTATTGTTGTAATTAACTAGTTGTGGAAGTTGACATATATTGCTGTTTTAAAACTAGAAGACCCTTTGGCCTTCAAAAGACGATCTTATGGCCTCCACTATCCCTCTGTTGAATGATTTGCACATTGAAAGAGAATTTCTTTCCAGATCTTTTTTTTTTTTTTTTTTTTTTTTTTTTTTTGAGACAGAGTCTTGCTCTGTTGCCAGGCTGGAGTACAGTGGCACGATTTCAGGTCTAATTTTCAAAGCAGCCTTGCTATGTTCTATAGGTCCCTGAGCAAGATGGGGAAGCAGTACAAGGCAAGCAGGGCTGTGGGCTTGGATCTTGTCTGGTTTTCAGTTGAGAACATACTTTTATTTCCACCAAGGAAGCAGAACCGTAAGATGGGTAAGCTACAGGGGAAATAAACCAACAATTTGGGCTGTACAGAAGAGCATTTGTTTCCAAATGGACCAAGGGAGAACACTGAGGAAAGATGTGTAACAAGGAGCACAATGTGAACAGTCCTGGGCCTCTGCAAATGGTGATAACAGTACTACTTAAACTTTATGAGGATTGTTGTGAGGATTAAATAAGATAATGCATGCAAAATGCTTAGCACAGTACCTGGCACACATAGAAAATACTCAATAAATATAAGCTATGTACCTATTAATGTTGTACAAGTTCTGTTACCACTCTTTGGAGATTCTGATTCAGTAGATTTGAGGAAGTACCTAGGAATTTTCTTTTTGTAAAATCTTCTCCAATTGATTCCTCGGCCTTAAATGGAAACATGTTGCTGTATGTCCCTGCCACGATCATGTCCTTCTACTTCCACAAGCCACTCTAGTCTCCCCACTTCAGGATAACACTCAATACTTCAGAATTGACTCTTAATGGAGTAAATAGTACCAGAGAACTACATACTGGAGTAACATAGTTATATCCTGGAAGCTGCCATTTAGGATTCATTATATCTCAGGAAATTTGTGCCATTCTAGATTAAGAAGTGTGTGTTCCATTTGCCTACTAACAACAGTCATCTTTTTAGACCATGTTGGAAAAATAAATCCCTAGGTGAAATTATTTTTATTGATAGCAGACTCGAATTTTCTTAATTCTGGAAATATCCAATCAGTGCTTTCTTTTCACCAGTCTCTCTCTTCTTCATGCTTAAAACCAAGTATTTTGGTGTGCTACAGCCTGGTAAAAGGAGTGAAAGCTCATTTAGAATGATGAGGCAGGGATTAATTTTAGTGCCGTAGATTTGGAGCATAAATGAAAGAGATGGACAGAAAGGGCAACTTGGAACCTAGGACTTTTCTGGTCAGCTCTGTGGAGGTTTGCCCAATTCTCAGACCATTCCATTTCCTTTTTCTGATCTAACACCAGAAAGCCAAGCAGGCCCTTCAATTCCCATGGAATGAGGAGAAAGTTGTGTTATACAACTCTTCATCACCAGCAAAGTGTTAGTAAGACTGGAAAGACTTTTCCTCTTCCAGCTATAAATGGGGCCTATTTTTAAACAAAATAGAGACAATAGAGACTGTTGGTGATAGTAACCGATGCCTCGGGGAAACAAGTCTTGTCACTGCTTGTTGATTTCAAATCCATAAACACAATGCGATTACTTATTCCTATTCCCATCTAGAAATGTGGGATGATGGATCACAGCATCTTTTTCCTTACATCTCTAGTTGAATCAAATTCCAGGAAAGATTAGGCCTTGACAATAACTCCTCCCTTCATCCCAGCTCTTAGGAAAGCAGGCTTTACAACAGAGCTACCATTTACAGAGGAGCAAACTGAGGCTTAGAGAGGTCAAGTAATTTGCCCCGTGTCTTGCCAAGTGGGGGAGATGTCCAAATGCATGTAATCTGATTCCAGAGCCACAGCTATTAAGGTTAAACTCTCTCTATGTGTATTTTGACAAAAACCTTATAAGAAATTCTGATGTGCCTACCTAGTTAAGAACTCCTAATTTATTTTTTTGAATCTTTAAGTAAATTTTGAGTAAAAAAGTAATACATAAACATGTTAGCAAGTTCAAATTATACAAGAGATTATACAGTGAGAAGTGAGTCTCTCTTTCCTACCTACATTCCAGTTTCCATCCCTAGAGGCAACTACTATTTTTTTTTTTTTGCATAACTTTCCAGAAATAATCTGAGCACATACTAACATATATATGTCCATATATACCCTTAAAACATAAATAGAAGCATGTCATACATACTGATGTTTCCATTCTTACTGAGAAATCCTGCCTTGGCAAATACTACCATCTCCAAGATCCAAGAAAGCCTACTAGCCAAACCACAGATGAGGACTGGATACATACGATTTTCTGTACAACCATGAAAACGTGATGCAGTACAGAATTCATTCTGCAGTGTCAAACAGTTAATCCACACAGGAAATGACTTCATCTGGAAGTGTCTGCTTTGAGAGACTCAAGCTCACTTGGTATATGCTATATGGCATTGTTCCCTGAGTGTAGAGATTTCCTATGTCTTATGAAGTATTGTATTCCACTCAGTATCTAATGAAGTTAGTTCCTCATGAGTTTGTACTAGGTGTTTAGTCAATGAAGACTGTATGTATGCCTGCAAAATGTCTGTTTTGTTTGATTTAAAAATATCCTTCTAGCAGAGTATTATAAACAATTGGTGTTAAATTTCTAAACAAGTACTGCCAGTTTGGGAGGGGACAAAGTTTATGGCAAGGATTATGGGTATGGGAGGTAAAGGCAGGAGATATGTGTGCTTAGTCAAAAGTAAGGCATTGAACAAAACTAAAACATGAACAAAACCTGGAACGAATCACACTAATTTGCTAAATGTGTGTGTGTGTGTTGGGGGGGCAACCTGGTGTAGCAGAAAAAGCATAGATTTTACAGTTGGACAGACTTGGATTCCAATTCAACTTTGCTCTTAGGGACCCTGAATGAGTTACTTAACTTCTTTGAGCCACAGTTTCCTCATGTGTAAAATGGGTATGATCATTGATTAAAATCTTATTATAAAATGAACTTAAGAAAAATAAACACTCACCAAAGAAAATGATCCTTTTATTATCATTGAGGCAAACAAAGCCTCCAAAACACATAGAAATATCTTTCCTTATTAATTGTTGCGTTAATAGCCTATACTTATTTTCACAATTAACTTTGAATCTTAATTTTCTACTCCAAAGCCTTTTAGAGGTTTTTCTTTGATTCTTGTGTTTATTACCTTTCCCACTGCGGTAGACAGATTCCTAGGATGGTCCCCAGTGAACCCCACCTTCTCATATTCATGCCCTTGTGTAATCCTCTTTGAGTGTAAACTGGGCCTAAGGACTTGCTTTTAAGAAATGGAACAGAGCAAAAATAATAGGATATCATTTCTGTGGTTAGGTTATAAGACTGTGACTTCCATCTTCCTAGCTGATTCTCCCTCTTGCTGGTTTTGATGAAGCAAGATACCATGTTGGAGAGGCCCATTTGGCAAAAACCTAAGGGTGTGCTCCAGCCAATAGCCAGTGAAGAACCTCAACCCAACAGCCTGTGAGGACGTGAATCCTGCCACCAACCACATGAGTGGGCTAGGAAGTAGATCCTCCCTCAGTTGAACCTTGAGATGAGACCCTAACCCTGGCCAACAACTTTATTATGGGTTTGTGAGAGACCCTAAAGCAGAGACTCAGTTTAGCCATGTCTAGATTCCCACAAAACTGGAGATACTAAATGTGAGTTGTTTAAGCTGCTATATTTTGGAGTAATTTGTTATGCAATAGTAACCATTATGCCTAGAATGAACTTTATAGTACCATTTCCTAGAAGTCAAAAGAATGCCACCTTCTAGACTTTCAACAGAAAAGTATAATAATAATAACAGCAGCAACAACATTGTTTATCATTTATTGAAAATTTTATATGTGATAGGTATAGTATTAATTGTTTTACTATATTAAACTTATTAACTTATTTAACTTAACAGATTAGGAAACTGAGTCTCAGAGAGAGGTTAATTAACTTGTCCAAATTAGAATGGATAATGGATTGTATTACTTCAAAACTCATGTTCTTAAATCAGGTAAATACAATGAGCTTTTATCACAATATGATGACTTCAGATGTACTCTAACTGTGCTTAGCTCCGTGCTTGGCACACAGTAGCTGCTCAGTAAATGTAAGCTGTGATTATTAGATCTTGAACTCACAATAAAGAGACCCTGTGTCAGTTTGCATTGAAAAGCCAGCTCTTCATATCCTGCTGGGGTACATGGTCTTGCTCATAGTGATCACAGTAGTCCACACATTTTGAGCAAGGCCCTGCTTCACCAAGTGACTTTAATAGCCCATCCAAATATGTCTTCTCAGGAGGCCTGTCTAGTGTGCTGCAACGTGCTGAACTAATTTTCATTCTGCTCAGATCGTACCATTGACCTCTGGGGGCTCTGATCCATTCACATAGGTTGCCCATGCCCATATACAGATGCTGGGCAATAATATTTAGAAGAGTGATCAAATATGAGGCACCAGTTGCCTTCCAATGATCTGTTGCAGCTGAAATTAAATACTCCTTTCTTATTATCTCTACAAGACTTGGTTAACTCCTATTTACAGATGGAATTTTATAGCCAGCATATTTTATAGAGCACTTACCCTAATGACAATAACAGAAACACCTTATAACTGTGTCAGCTTGACTGTTTATAAAAACACTTTCATATGCATCTCATTTGATTCTATGGCACTTCATCTATGCCCTATGAAATGAATACATTTCTACCTCATATTATAGCTATTTATACATGAGGCTGTATGGTCTAGTGGAAAAATCATACTCTGGCTTCGGACAAACCTGAATTTGAATCCCAGGTCCACCACTTCCTAGATGTGTGACTTGAACAAATCTGTGATCCTCATTAAACTTTTGTTTTCTGCATTTGTAAGGTGGGCTTAATCATGCACATCTTATAGGGTTTCTGTGAGGTAAGAGATAACATGTAAAGTGCAGGGCAACTACTATGTATTCAACTAATACTTTCTTAAAAATATTATCATTAGTTTGTATGATGTTAGCTAGCAAAATCTGTGACTATTCATTTTATCTCCAACAGACCCAGAATTGTGCCTTTTATCTTTAGAAAGAAGCTTAATACATACTTCTTGAATAGACAAACCTGAGGTAGGCACAGGAGTTATTATCCCAGTAGATGGAGGTTAAATGGCCTGCCCAGGGATCACATGGCTGATAAATGATAGAACTGGAATTTGGATTCTGATTGTTTGCTGTCTAGTCCAGTGCATCTTCCTGCAGTCTTTTAGATTGGTTTGCAAAACTGACATGCTGGAAATAAAGTCTCTTGTAGAAGACAGCCTAGTAAGCGACAAGTCTAGGTTTTCCACTAGGATTCAGATATCTTTGGATGTGCTGTAAAGAGACACCTCATCCTACTTCCTCATGGGCTATAAGGAGTGTCTTAGAAAGAGAGCCACAGGCCGGGGGTGGTGGCTCACGCCTGTAATCCCAGCACTTTGGGAGGCCGAGGTGGGTGGATCACGGGGTCAGGAGGTGGAGACTATCCTGGCCAACATGGTGAAACCCCGTCTCCACTAAAAATACAAAAATTAGCTGGGGGTGGTGGCGCGTGCCTGTAGTCTCAGCTACTCGGGAGCCTGATGCAGGAGAATCGCTTGAACCAGGGAGGCGGAGGTTGCAGTGAGCCAAGATCCTGCCACTGCACTCCATCCTGGCAACAGCGAGACTCCATCTTAAAAAAGAAAGAAAGAAAGAAAGAAAGAAAGAAAGGGAGTCACATACCCTAATAGACATGCTATTGGACATGCTCAGTCCAATAAAATGGGCTTAGTTGTTGGAGAGTTGGGGTAAATCTGAGCATAGTCTATTGCCCACCATTAAGATTTACCCATCGATCTAGTTTCCCAGGAATTTATGTCTAAATCTTAGGTAAAGAGGTGTTGAAAGTAAAAATAAAACACAAACAGAAAAAAACAGTAGTTTCTCTAAAGATCTCTGTGGGATATTGGAAGAAAGATAAGGCAGCACCGCTTTTATGCCTACCTAATTGAGAGTTAGCTCAGAACATAGCCAACTGTGGCACATGGGGTTTCTAGGGAGCAGAACTCAGCTTTGGCACTTGGAAGGCGTTAGCACATCAGTGATGCCAGGGGCAGCACAGAGCTGCAGATGCTACCCAGTCTCTAGTAATTGGCACAGCAGTAGCACCTTGTGCCATATTGTTTAAAGAGCAGTACAAGGCAGCATCAGTGGCTTGATGTGGCCTTGGAGACTTTGGGAACTAAGCAGTATCCTTGGTACAAACATTAATGCTGTCATCTTTCATGGTAGGCACTGGTAGCAGCGATGAGGTGCCTGTGGTTTGGTATAGGTAGCAAAGGTCTAGGAAGTCCGTAAAGTGGAGAAGGCTTCTTTATGGGTAGACTTGAGACAACCCATGGGGGTTATGAGAAATAAGTGGAGAACCTAGAGATACTGTAATGATAGATTTGGGGGAAAACCAGAGAAAATGCTGTTTATGATCATTAATATCCCACTTTTACCTGTAGCTTCATATGGTTTGGGGAATTATTGATTATGATTATGATAGTAACCTGACATGAGTGGCCAGATTGATCACAGTATAGATAGCCTGGGGCCCTTCCAGCTCCTGTTCTTCAGTATGAGAGGTTTCTAATTGTCACACGTGGAATTCTGCCTTCTTCCTCATACCTGCCTCCTGCTCCAACACGCTACGAGTTCAATATTCGGTGCTATCAAGCAGCATTCCTGGAAGCACAGAGATTTGAAAGAAAGGTTTCTGAATGTCATGCCAAATCTCCATCTGACTGGAGTAACTCAAGCAAATAGTCCAAAACTTCCAGAATAAATTGGATAAAGGTGGTAAGCACTTTCGAGCTTCCAAGAAGTGGGGCGGGGATGGAGGAAGCTGCCCAATATTAACAATATGCACAGAGACAGAGGCATTTGTATTACAGTGGGTGGTATGCTGTGTTTCCCTCTTACTAAGTGTTGCCCATGCAAAGGCTGAGATGGTGGCATGATGCCTTTGCTGTCAGTGATACCAATTGCATTTGTGTACTCTAAGAGAAATAAAATAAGCTTCTTTCCCTCATGATGATATAATTGTCTTTCTTGTCCTTCGAGATTAGCCAAAGATGTAGTAAAGGCATTAGATATGTGTTAAGAATGACACCACCACAACCACCACCATTACCAGCAACAACAAGAGTAAACACTTACATAGCACTTATTCCGTTTTTGGCACTGTTCTAAGATACACACACGCATGCATATACATGCACATACTTTTTTTCTCCATTATTCCATCTGTCTTCTCACAATGACTTACAGATTGGGCAAAAGAGTGGTCCTCCTCAGGCCAAATTAGGTTTTTCTAAAGTGTGTTTTTAAGATCTTTTGTTCTGGAGAGCTTAACAGGTGTTACAAAACAGGATTCCCTGATCAAGTAAGTTTGGGAGACATTGGGTTATAAAATATAAGCACATTTCTCTACTGCAGGACTTCCAAATGGGCTAATGTATATGGAGATTTTTTCTGATAGAGGAAAATCATAGATGAAATCTGCAGAATTTCTCAAAAAGAGGCAGTAAACCGTGGTGTTATGAGTGGGGGCCTCTGATAGCAGACTTTCTGGGTTTAGAACCCAGCTAGGATATTTCGCTTGCTCCTTATAGGACCTTGGAAAAGTCTGTTTTATCTTTTTGTGCTCCAGGTGTCCTTATCTGTCAAATGGGGATAATGGTAATATTTACATCAGAGTGGTTTTAATATATTCAAACTGCTTAAAAGAGTACTTGGCTTTTAGGAAATGCTCGATAAATACAAGCTGTTTTTTTTTTTGTTTTTTGAGACGGAGTCTCTGTCACCCAGTCTGGAGTGCAGTGGCGCAAGCTCAGCTCACTGCAACCTCTGCTTCCCAGGTTCAAGTGATTCTCCTGCCTCAGACTACAGAGTAGCTGGGGTTACAGGCAAGCGCCACTACGCCCGGCTAATTTTTTTGTATTTTTAGTAGAGACAGGGTTTCGCCATGTTGGCCAGGCTGGTCTCGAACTCCTAACCTCAGGTGATCCACCCACTTCGGCCTCCCAAAGTGCTGGGATTACAGGTGTGAGCCACCGTGCCCAGCCTTTACAGGCTAATTTGATTTTAATTTGATTTGACTCTGTAACCCTTTTCTTGCAAGCATCTCAGGGGATTAAAGTCTTACAGTGCACGTGTGTGGTGCACACACACACACATACACACTTTGGAAAATGCCAAGTTGGGTCCTTCTGGTAAAAAGACTATAGAAGAATGGCACTGGGGAAGAAAGAAAATAAAGGAGATCAGATGACGCCTGGGTTGAAAGACTACAACTCTGCAGTCCAAGTCTCAAAAGTTATTTTCTTATTCCGTCTCTAGATACTTTAAAAATTTTTATGGAGATAATTACCTGCTGCCCTCAAATTGGTTATGTTTACTTTTCTGGAGGAGGGAAAATGGACTAAATGAGGTTTTCGAAACCCAATTCTCCAATGACTTAAATGGCTTTGATTTCCGCATTTGAAAAATGGATCTACTGTTACTGATCTGCATGTGGAATTTTCCTACGAAAAAGGTATGATACTCAAACATCTATGATTAACCTAGGCCCACAATCAAATGGAATTACCATCTCGTGCTCCAGTTTTATCATAAGATGGCAAATGGCAAGATATCAAGCAATATCCTGACTGGACTCTTTGTGGGCTGAAGGTTCTATATCCCCAACTACCCTTTAGAGATAGGCGGTATCATGTAGCGCGTGAGTCCCACAACTGTCATGTACATCAGAATCACCTGTGTGTCTTGTAAAAGTAAAGTTAAAACAACCAAACTTCAGAGTTTTTGTTTCAGTAGGTCTGTTGGGGGCAGGTTGTGGGGAGAGAGGGCTGAGAATTTTGTTCCCAGGTGATGCTAATGGTGCTGGTCCAGGAACTGCACTTTGAAAACCGCTGATATATGTTCCCCTTCCTGTGTCCATGTGTTCTCATTGTTCAATTCCCACCTATGAGTGAGAACATGGCACATGTATACATATGTAACAAACCTACACGTTGTGCACACGTACCCTAAAACTTAAAGTATAATAATAATAATAATAATAATAATAATAATAAAAGAAAACCACTGATATAGAGGTTAAGTGAGGGGGCACTGAAATTGGACAGACCTGGGTTTAAACTCTAGCACCATCACTTAGAAGCTGTGAAATCCTGGTTAAATTATTTAATCTCTGTGACTTAATTTACATATCTATAAAGTGGAGATAATAGTAACAACCTGGTAGGGTTGTTGTGAGGACTAATGAGTTCATATATGTGAAGCCCTTCAAATAGTGCCTGCTGTAAATTAGCCTCAGTTGTTACTATTGTTGTTATTGTTATTGTTATTAAAAGAAAGGTCTTGTAGGGAAGAGAAGTCAAGTCAGGGCTCTGAGTTGGGACAGGATCCCTAGGAGTGGGAAAAAAAGCATTGATATGACAACCCACATTATTCCCTTTTAAAAGGGACATTAATGGTAGAAGTTGATACATTGGTTTTCTAGACATGAAGATGCTTCAGGACAGGGCTATTTAAACCCCGAGAGTTGATTTGTGTTACTCAGCTGTCTAGTTTGCTGGTCTTTCTTAACTCCCTACCACCTCAACCCCACAACATTCTTAAGCTCCTCCTTTCCTTAGCAAAGTGGCAACAGGACAAGTTTAGCAGTGGCCCTCTAAGGCAGATGCTCCATGCCCTCTTCAGAAATCTCCTGGCAATATTTTCATTCCAGGGAATATTTATGAAGTACTCACTTGTGTTTCAACCTCCATGGTTTGATTTTTGTTTTAGAAACCCAGCTAATTCTTCCGGGGGAAAAAAAGGTCCCAGTTTAAAATTCTGATGCCTTTGGTAAGTTGTCCACAGAAGAGAGAAATTTCGTTAATGATCTACCCACCTTGCTCTCAGGTATGCCTCCCATGTTTCAAGGTTCCCTATGTACCTTTAATTTTGATAATAATTAGGAAGCTTGTAAGCATTATCAGGAAGCAACTGTGTGCCCTGGTTGGGGGAGGGTGAATACATCTGGGCATTAAGTAACTGGCCCTCAATCTCTCTGAATGACATTTCAGTGCATTTTTTAAGGATCAATTTTCATACTTCATTGTGGTGGCTGATTCTGGTATGCTGGACAGAAAGGTTTATGATGCCCAATGGGTTAATCAGCTTTGACCAAATCTTTCTTGAAGTACTAAAATGGAGTGTAGCTCTCATCCACAGCAGCTTTCTCCCTCTGCTCATTAGTTCATGTCGGGACTTTAATAGTACAAAGCAAAAGAAAGAGGGTGTGTGTTTGCGTGTCCCCATTTGCCTTTTCCCTCTATACTCACCAGCTGAGAGTAATTTATTTGTTTCCACAAGGGGAAATGTGGAGATAAATGCCTCAATGATTAAAGTCCTGGCCTATAAGTTGGAAAACCTTGGTTCTAGAACTAGCATCACCTGTGACTTTCTTTATGACCTTGGATTTATTAGCTAGATTTTTCTGGGCCTTTGTGTCCTTTCTGTAAAATAGGATGGTCTTGATCATCCCATTTCACAGGGTTGTTGAATACCTAATGAGATAATATACCTGGTCATGCTTTGGAAACTCATTAGTGTTTTATGGATATAAGAAATGATTATTATACTCAACAAATTCTGATTAGATATTCTGCGTTTTTTCTCATGCCCTATTTAATAACAATCTTATAACTTAAAGAATCAAAATATAAATTAAATAACTCTGTATATTTTACAGAGGTAAAACTTAAATTACGGGTTAAGAATTTTCAAAGGGCCAAAGAAGAAAAAGCCTCCAATAAAAAGCACAAGGGAATTTATTTTTGTCTAGTTGACTGGTCTTTCAGAAATAAAAAAGAAGCCATTTCAGAACTGACCAGTAGATGTCAGTGTTTGACAAGCACATAGCTGTTTGCTGAGGCTCCCGTATTAGCATCTGGCTCCATTTCAGCTAGCAAGTTTCTCTGCAAAGGAGAGGGAGTTTGTGTAACTGAAGCAAAGATTTTGCTTTCTCACTTCTCGCCCTGTCTTGCGGAAAACAGCATGATGCTTTGGGTAAGTCGTCGTTATCTTCACTTTCAGTGATTCCCTTTATAGATCTGCAGTCTGCTGAGAAGTTTAAAACACAAAATTAAACATGTGCTTAGCTCCCTGAAGGCCACATACTTGTTTTTCTTCACAAAGGTGCTTTTCCTTTTCCAGACCCACCTTCCCTTCATCCTACCCTTTGTGTAATATTAATCAAATATAGCCAGGAAATACTGCTGTTTGGGGACCAGGTTCCAAAGCTCTTGAAACAAGGATTTTATTTTTTGCTGCAGAGTGACACTTGCTCTGATTTCAGATGAAATTGCCATTTTCTAAAAATGGCAGCTACTTGGTGTGTCATTTTTCAAAAGAAAATGTGATCACATTGTAGCTGCGCTAAGCAGCCTCTTTCAGTCCTCTTTCGTTTTACACTTTTACTGGAAGGCTTTGAAAGAGGCAATGCAATTAGGTTCCAGTTGTCTCTGTTGAACTCAGAGATGCTCACCTTTTCCTGGGGAAGATGAATTCTTGTTATGTTGGTTTCTTATCGCATCCTGGATTAGGGAGGAAATGTGCAGCGAATTCAGACTAGGGATGGTGATAAAATCAACTGAGCTCTTTGAAAAGGCCACCCGCCTTGGGTTTCTGGAATTCAGACTTGTGGGGCTTTTACTCTTGAACAATTTTTAAGGATTGGGTAGTCAGGTTTTCTTTTCTTTTTCTTTCTTTCCTTCTTTCTTTTTCTTCTTCTTCTTTTTTTTTTTTTTTTTTTTTTTGGTGCCTGTGTTGCCCTTTATAAGCAGCCAGCTCAGATGCATTTAGAGACCATTTTTGTGGAATGATTTGGAACTGCAATCTCCCCTCCTTGGTTTGCTCTCATCCTTTTTGCATTTCTATTGGCCAAATGGAATGAAATAGTTCAATGTCATAAAGTCAGAGGTGGCTTTAGGCTTTGGGCACACTTTCTGAAGACCAATGGAGGTGGTCTGGGTGTGACAACGCCTACCAGTGTGGAGTAGTGCCCTGCTGCAGCATTCTTAGTGGCTGCTGGCCAAGAACTGGCCTTGTCCTGGGAAATGAGTCATCAGACATAAGCAGCTTGTTCTTGGAGGCAGAGCTGGCATTGGTTTCAAGGTCCTCTTGCATTTGGTGCACATCTGCTACTGCTTCACTGTGTCTCAACCTCCCTGGGTCCCCTCTCAGCAGTGTTCATAGTCTTGGAGGAAGAAACGTTCCCCCATTTCCCAGAAGGCTGATTTTCCATCACCTTGCCACTTCCCAACTCATTCCAGAGAACTTATCCCTCCTCAACTCCTGAAGGACCCTTTTTTTTTTTTTTTTTTTTTTGAGATGGAGTCTCACTCTGTCACCCAGGCTGCTGGAGTGCAGTGGCATGATCTTGGCTCACTGCACCCTCCACCTACGAGGTTCAAGCGATTCTCCTGCCTCAGCCTCCTGAATAGCTGAGATTACAGTTGCGCGCCACCACACTGGCTAATTTTTGTATTTTTAGTAGAGAACGGGTTTCACCATGTTGGTCAGGCTGGTCTCGAACTCCTGACCTCATGATCCACCCACCTCAGCCTCCCAAAGTGCTGGGATTACAGTCATGAGCCACCATGCACAGCCAAGGACCTTGTTTCCATACATAAAGAGGTTGAAGGTCTGGACCTTTTAGTCTGACACCTTCAACCTCTTCCTTACCTTGATGCTTCCCCTCTGCTTTCCTGCAAGTGAGGTAGTTAAGAGCAATAGTTTTGGAGGCCAACATACCATAGCCACTTGCTACCTGTCTGACATTAGGCAAGATCCTTTATTTCTCTGAGCCTCAGTTTCTTTGTTATTATTTTTTGTTTTATTTTAAATGAACAAATAACAATTGTATATATTGTATATTTATAGGACACAATGTGATATTTTTATACATGTTAATATTGTGAAATGATTAAATCATGCCTATTAACAAATCAGTCACCTCATATACTTTTTTTGTGGTGAAAACATTTCAAACCTATTCTTTTAGAAATTTTGAAGTATACGATGTGTTATTATTTATTATAGTCACCATTTGGTACAATTGATTACTAGCAATACCTACCTTGCTGTGTTTTGTGATTAGTAAATGAAGTACTATATGTAAGGCAACTAGCACTTTGTAGGAGCAAAGTAATCTATAGCTGCTGCTGTTAATTTTGTTGTTATTACTATTCTACTTGTTGCCGGCCTGCTCTCATCTCACTCTCCTCCCTTTAACTGTTCAATATTTTGAATGACTAGGTTATCCTTATATTCATTTACATTTACCATTTACTCACTATCCATTCCCTCTTGTTTTGGCAATTATATTTTAAATTCCAAAGGTTCTTCTTGTTCTCTGTTTTTTTGCTTGTAATATCTTGTCCATATTTTATTTCATTTTTTTTTTGAGGCAGAGTTTCGCTTTTGTTGTCCTGGCTGGAGTGCAATGGTGAGATCTTGGCTCACTGCAACCTCCACCTCCCAGGTTCAAGCAATTCTTCTGCCTCAGCCTCCTGAGTAGTTGGGATTACAGACACCTGCCACCACGCCCAGCTAATTTTTTGTATTTTTAGTAGAGATGGGGTTTCACTATGTTGGCCAGGCTGGTCTCGAACTCCGGACCTCAGGCCATCCACCCGCCTTGGCCTCTCAAAGTGCTGGGATTACAGGCGTGAGCCACTGTGCCCAGCCTATCTTGTCAATATTTCATAGATGCAAAGATCATTTCAAACTAGTCTGAAGAAAATAATTAGAATTTAAAAAAATCTCCATTGTTCCTAGAATTATTTTTATTCTAGGGTCTTTTTATGTTTTCTGCTTGTTTCTGTTTGCTCAATTATCCTCTCTTCTCTGATTATTGACATTTTATCTACTTTTTCTAGGTCCAGTTCAAATGACATATCCACTATGATGTCATCCTTAATCCCCATAGTTGGAAGCAAATACTCCCTTCTCTTCTTCACTTCTATAACCCCTGGTTTGCACTTTTTTTTTTATTACATAGCACCATATATTGTATAGTTAAATGTTTGTTTTTGTGTTTCAGTTTGACATTCTCCTTGGAATATAAATTCCTGAGGTCCAGGACTGTGCTATACATGCCAACCACTCTGTGTGTGTTCAGTACTGGGCTCCCTGCCTTTGTAGGGACACAGAAGGATCTTGCTGGCCATCAATACAGTGTGAGAATCATGAAACTTAAGTAAGAATGTCCAGTAGATCAAAGATTGAAGTAGTAGAGAACACAGTGGATCTTTTCTATAAATCTTTGCAAGTTGGCCTTGGGTTGAGACGAGTAAAGTGGAGACTTGCCTGAAGTGAGAGCTGGACATGACTTTTTGTGATTCTATAGAGACAATGGCTGTGGGCCCTGTGAGACTGCATTGCTGGGATACCCTGTCCCCCTGTAGCAAATGGCCAATAGCTTCAAAGTAGATGTGTGTCAGCATGGAGCTAAGTTTGGTTTCAGTAGTGGGTTTGGACTGTGTCAGGATTTCTTCAGGGGGGATTAACTCATGTCTGAATATTTTAGCCCAAACTTCTCAGCAGGAAATTCCTTCACAGTAAACATCATGTTACAAATGAAAAGGTTGTCTCTCTTTTTGTCCAAAGCCTGTCAATCTCACACATATAATACAAGGTCAAGGCGAAGGCTTGACTGATCTGACCAGTAAAGATACAATGAACCACTTTTAGATTTAGACAGTTTATTATTTACATAGACAGCTGAAAGCAGAATAAGCCTTAAAGTGCCAGATCCCTGTGATCCTTGTCCCATACGCTACAAAGGATGACATGGAAAGAAAAGAGGCTGGATGACTGCATTGCACACTGTGGGATACCCCATTGCTGAGGAGCCTATTCCAGGGTGCCTCCAAGCAGTTTTATGTTCTGTAGCTTTGTATTCACCATAATACGTAATAATATAAATTTATATTTATAACTTTTATTTGTATTTTATATTTATATAAAATTTATATTTTATAAATTTAAATGTACATTTATGTATTATACATAAAAGCAGTTTTATGTTCTAAGGGGGGCATAGCAGAAAACCCCATACCTCATCAGAATCAGGCAGGTGATGAGAAACGATCTCATTGCAGCCCCTCCAGGAGAGGGAGGGAAGTGAGTGAGAGACTTCCTCGTAGCAGCTCCTTATAGGCTTCTAGTCCTCTAATGTTCCAGAAATAGCACAATGCGTTCCACCAAGACTCAGTCTGTGGTTCAGCCTTTGCCTGCATGCTCTATGTGGATGTGTGGTAAGGTCATCAGGATTCCATGGCAGAGCCAGTTTCCTACAATGCCATTCCTTCTTTGATACCTAGTCACGTGTTGACTGATAGTAACTTTGGTTTCTACATGCTGAAGACTTCTGACAACCTCCCCCTCACACCCCTGCTTCTCTAGAGTCAGAGCTTACCTATTTCCAACAAAACTATTTATAGAATTTGCCCTTATTCTTATTGTTCACCCTGTTCCTTATCCTTCCTAATCAAGTTTGGCTGATTCACTTCCTTGCTTTCTCATACAGGGTTCTTTCATCACAAGAAACATCTAAGAAACTTCCTGATCAGGACAGGAATTGGCTTCTAAATCTGGGTCTCTATGAGCCTAGCACTTCTAGTTTTTTTCTTTTTCTCACTTTGTCCTATTTGGTTTCTGCAGGTCTTCAGGATTCTGTATGTGTGTGTGTGTGTGTGTGTGTGTGTGTATGTGTGTGTGTGTGTGTATGTGTGTGTATATATATGTATATATACATATATATACACACACATACACACACACACACACATATATACACACACACACACACACACACACATATATATATATGTCTTGACCAGAGGCCTTTCCCTACCCTTTGTTAGGGAATCCTTAGTGTACCTTAGAGTATCTTAGAGTACCAGATGGATTTGGGCTGTGAAGACTGAAAGCCTACAGCTTTTCACCTTCTTGCCTTGACCTTGAGTTCACATGTGCCTCTTGATCCCTGGCAACCTCCTTGCCTAGGTACTAACCTATTGCCTAGTCTAAGCCCTTACTTTAACATATTGCTGGCTCTCTGGATCCTGGCTTTCTGCCCTGGATCTTCCTGCCTATGTCCTTAGTACTAGGAGATTTCATAAAACCACATATTGAAAGAATGTCATATGTGGCCAATTTCAGTGAGGCCAAAACCAGCGCTGTGATAAAACACCACACCACTATGGTTGCATTATTGGGTCAGTACCAGTACTATGAGGTAGGATTTTCTCTTTCCGTGAGCTACTATGATGTAGTATTTCCTCTTTCTGTTAGATACTGCAGTTGGGGCTGTTGAAAGTAAGTAGAATTTACTCTAGCTCTGCTCCCTTGGAAGTCATACCCAGGCAGACAGTACTTAGAACAGGGGAGCTTGGTATGAAGAATCACCAGGGTGCTTGCTCCTTCTACTATGAATGAATGGGTTAGTGGTGAGTCTTGCTGGGAATGGCCCTCTTGAGCAATATTTTAAAAAATATAATAATGCGGCATTCAGTTATGGTTGGGGTGGAGTGTAGGGACTCAGTCATTCATCTATCCAGTCATTTATTCAACAAATATGTATGGTTTCTTACGGATTAGGCACTTTTCTAGACTCATCTGTGAATGAAATAGATACAATTCTTGCCCTCATGAAATTCTAGTTGGTGGTATGGAGGGGCAAAAACATTAAACAAGTAAGAGACAAATATGATGAGATGAAACCAGGTGCTGACAAGGGTTATAAAGAAAATACATTGTCAATGTGCTAGAGCAGACATGCGTTAGATAAGAAAGGCCTGTCTGAGACAGGAGTGTGTAATTTATGTGAAGATCAGGAGGAATAGCTTTCTAGGCAAAAGGAGCAGCTACTACTGAGGCAATGAGTAGGGACTTAGCATTCTAGGCTGAGGGAATACAAGTAAAGCCATGGAGGCTCAGATAATCTTTGCTAAGGGGTGTAGTGGTAGGTTTTGGATGGGGAGGAGGTGGCACTGTGAGGACTTCTTAATTAGACTTTTTTAAATGAACTGTCCCCCAAACACATAAGGACTCAATAGCTTTCAGGCCCCTTGACCAAAAGAAGACATTGTCTGAAATGGAGGTTTTTATAGCCTCTGACACCCATTCTGATGTTCATGAGTTGGCAGAGATGATTGTGAATCCATTTTTAGGATGCAGGAAAGCATGACTTTTTTGCATACATTCTCTCTTCCTTTCTTCTTCATATACACCCAGTGAAAAAATTGGACAGATTAAATCACACTAAAATGTTAGTGAGTGTGTATAATCCCTCCTATGAGTAGTTGCCCTTTTAAGAAGACTCCAGAGAAAAAGAAACAAATATAGGAAAGGATAAATGAAATGACTGAATTCTTAATATTAGAATTTCAAACCCTTGGCCAGCCAAGTAAATGAAAAATCCCCTTTAAGTTTGTTGGCATCTTTCACCTACAGATTCATGAGGTCAGGGAACACTCTCGGATATTCAATTAGATTTCTTTTTTAAAAAAATTTTATTTTATTATTATTATACTTTAAGTTTTAGGGTACATGTGCACAATGTGCAGGTTAGTTACATATCTTTTTTGTTTTTGATTTTATTTTAAGTGCCAGGGTACATGTGCAGGATGTGCAGGTTTGTTACATAGGTGTATATGTGCCCTGGTGGTTTGCTGCACCTATCAACCTGTCACCTAGGTATTAAGCCCCATATGTATTAGCTATTTTTCCTGATGCTCTCCTCACCCTGCTCTCCCGCGACAGGCCCCATTGTGTGTTGTTTCCCTCCCTGTGTCCATGTGTTCTCATTTCAACTAGATTTCTTATTAGCATTCCTTCTCTGTCTCAGATCTGGAGGTATTCCAGATGTATGCACAGCAGCCTCTGGGAACTATCTGCATTTTCCATCTGCTGCTGGAGTCCATTTTCTTGAACTTTGGTTTCCCGCCTGAAGACAGGAACAATCTCTGCCCTTCCCCTCCCCATAATGAGCTTGGAAGGCTGACAGAGAAGATTAAGATCATTGCCATCAAGTTTTATCTGCTGTAAGCAAAAACAGGAAACCAAGAAAGAAAGGCGCAGCATAGCAATAGCTTTTGAGTGGGTAAGATGGGTGAAGTTTTTCTTAAATCCTCTTTCCCGTGTACCTTCCCACCCACATGTTCTTAGTCAGATTTATTTTTTGCATATTAGTTTCTGAGGATGACAAGAAACTTGCCCTTTTCTTAACTGTGATTTTCAGAAGCAGATTATCCTGCACTTAGTTGAGACCTCTTACCAATTCCTTGGAATAAATAATACCCTGGGCTCAGGAAGTGGGTGTTGAATAGAAATTTTATGACTCATAATGGAGTGTCAAAATAGCACTGCTGATGTATGTATGGGTCCCTTATCAATTTTGGAAATGACACTGGGTAGAGCCATATTTTCCTCTTGCATGGAAGTGCTCTGACTAAGGGAAAGTTCTTGATTTCTGCACTGTTTGGCATCTCTTGATATTTAAAAGTCCCACATTGAATGGTGGCTTTTCTCAAAGGTGACTTGGGTTTGGCCTAGAAAGAGAGCTGTTCTCAGAGGAGGGGCCAGAGCATTTCCCCCAGGAGGGGCAACCAGAACCTAAGCTGCCAGGATGAAGGGAGAAAGATTGACATTTCCCTGGCTTATGCCTTGAGGTACTTGTTTCCAAAGAAGGCTGAGGTCAGGATTGTATGCTTTTCCTAGAGTAGGCTGTAAGTTCTCTCATGATATCAAGCAGTTAGTTGACATTCCCAGGTCTCAGGCCTTTCCTTTTCTCTCTCCCCTGCTGGAGGAAATAAAAAGTGGTTCTTTCACAGGGCCCATGGGTCTGAGGGGAGCCTTCCCTTGAGCTCAGCCCTTCTCTTAGGATAGCACCTCAATGACCACACTCAGCATGGGCCCTATTAGTGTAGTTTTCTCATTAATGATTGTTTTGCAGTAATGAGGTTCTATGATATGCCTGTTGGATTGTTTGTGCTCCATGTTGATACCACTCAAACAACAAATATTTGATAACATTTGTTAATAATAATATGAATAATAATAATGATACAGTGGGGCACTTGAAAACAATATGAAATATATTCCTGCTCTTCATGAGTTCAAGAACCAGTTGAGGAGATAGAAAACCTGGCATAAATAGAGAAAAACAAGACAGCGTAGAATGAGATGGCAGATTGCACAGAATGAGATGCTAGATTGTGTAATTTAGTCTATAGGGATTCGAGGGGAAGAGCAGGGAGAAGCAATGTCAGGATGGCAAAGCTAGGAAAGTCTTCCAAGAGGATGCAGGGCTTAAAGGGTGACTAGAACTTGGTGGGGTGAAGACAAGTAAGGGGATATGTGGCAGAAGTGCCAGCAAAGGTATGGAGACAGAAACTGACTGCCGTATATATACACAGAGAATAGGCAGTGATGGTTTAGCAAAGTCGATATTCTGAAGTGGGATATTCTCATTGAGGGGTTGTGGGACTGGAAGACTGTAAAGGCATGGTGAGGCCAGGTAATGAACATCTCAGAAGCCAGATATTTGATTTGAACTGTTTTTATTAGGCTCTTTTGTTTGCAAGTGATAGAGACACTTTCGAGTCATCTCAAGTAAAGGGGTGGTGGGGTATTGTTAAAGAGCAGTAAGAAAGAAAGGTTTCAGGGGAAGCAAAGTCAGAAACCAGAGTGCAGTGGGACCTCATGGGAATTGTACTTGGCTTCATGGCAGCTTCAGGGACCTCAGCAGGGTTCTAAGACTTTTCACCCTAGAGTTCTGTCATTAAAATGGCTCAGCTCTACTTCCCCCTCACTACTGACTGCCTTAAGTGTTTTCCTCTGCTCAGGTTAGCTTTTGGATAGTTCCTAATTCCTATTTAATTTGTTGTTCCTGCTCCCTTATAATTTTGGTTTGCATGGCCTATCAAGCCTTCAGGTTTCTATCTTTTCCCTTATATTTCTGACTTTTTCATATTCCTCTCTAGGTATTCTTTCAGCTTCAGCTCCTACTTCTTTCATTTCTCTCCCTTTCTCTCTCTCCCTTCCTCCCTGTTTCTTTCTCTCTCTCTTTCTTTCTCTTCCCCCCCACCTCATATTTTTCGGGCAAATTCCTGAGAGAGAATCTGATTGCCCTAGTTTATATTTTTATACCTGGTTCTGTTTTAGATCACTGGCCAGAATGTAGATTGGTGGCCCTTGGGTCAGGAGCCTATCCTTGGTCCTTCACTGGGCTGGGGATGTGGATGTGAGGAAGTAACATCAGACAAATATATAAAATATTGGTCATGCACATAAATAGCAAACAGGCATATGAAAAGGTGCACAACATCACTAATCATCAGGAAAATGCAAATTGAAACTGCAATATTACCTCACACCTGTTACGATGGCTATTATCAAAAAGACAAGAGATAATAGCGTTGGCAAGGATGTGGAGAAAAGGGAATGCTTGCACACTGTTGGTAGGAATAGAAATTAATACAGCCATTATGAAAAGCAGTATAGAGGTTCCTCAAAACATTAAAAACAGAACTACCATGTGATCCAGCAATTCTACTTCTGAGTATGTGTCCCCTAAAAATAAAATCAGTATGTCATAAAGATATCTGCACCCCCATGTTCACTGCAGCATTAGTCACAATAGTCAAGATATAGGATCAACCTAAATGTCCATTGATAAATGAATGGATAAAGACAATGAATGAATACATAAAATGTGTGTGTACACACACACACACACACACACACACACACAAAATGGAATACTATTCAGGCATAAAAAGAAGGAAATGTTGTCATTTGTGACAATATGGATGAACTGGAAGACATTATGCTAAGTGAAATAAGCCAGTCACAGAAAGACAAATAATATACGATTTCACTTATATCTGGAATCTAAAAGAGTCAAATTCATAGAAACAGAAAGTAGAATGGTGGTTGTCAGGGGCCGGATGGTGGGGGAGATGGAGAGATGCTGATAAAAAAGTACAAACTTACAGTTATAAGATGAATAAGTTCTGGGAATCTAATGTATAGTGTGGGTGATGGATGTGTTAATTTGAATGTGATCATCATTATACAATATAAATGTATATCAAATCATCACATTGCACATCTTGAATATATATCATTTTTGTTAATTAAATATTTTAAAATAAAAAAGGAGAGATTGGTTATAGAGGAAGTGATGGATTCAGAATATAGGTTCAGGCAGTGAGAATGGAGAGGAAAGATTAGATATGAAACATATCTCAAAGAAAATAATTTGGAAGAGTCAGTATCTTACTGGCTACAGTTAGAGAGAGGAAAATAAAAGATAAATCACACAATGTCAAGGTCTAGATGACTAGGAGAATGATAAGGTAAAAAATAAGGTCTCCTGGACAGAGAGTTAATTTAGGGGAGAGACAGTAAATTCTGTTTTTGCCATGTTGAGTAAAAGTCAACAGTGGATTCGATTGGACATCACTGTTTTGTCCTTAACTTTGTGACCTCCCTTTTTCCAAAACTTGCTAAGGCGATTTAAGCCAGGGGCTATAAGTGTGTGGAGAGTTTCTCTGAAAAGGTCCACTTTAGTCATTTTTTCCTTCACCTTTAAATAGCTAATTGGCCCCATGGAGCAATGGTTTCTATCAGGACAATAAGTAAACAAGGCAGATGTGAGGAGGCCTTTCCAGCCCTGTGTGAGCCTGATTCTGTTTTGGTTACTGTTTTCAGAATCTTCAGAAGAGAGAAAATGAGTAAAGATGTAAGGAAATGAGGCAAAGCAATGGAAAAACAGCCTTGAGCAAGGTAAAAATAAGCTACATAATTTACAGCTGTTACATACCCATTTTGAGAATAGCAGTTCAGAGGAACATGCCAAGTAGAGTGCATACAAGCATTTGACAGAGACCCAGTTGGACACTTTATAGAAAGGGTACTTGAGCTCACAGGTTTGGAGAAAGCACAGAACAGCTGGGCCTTAGGAAGTACAAGGTAACCTCTGCAACCTTGGTGTTGGCCTTAGGGACTAAAACTAGAGGCTCAAAAACTGTCGGGACCTTCTCTTCTTGTCTTTGCTTTTCCCTCTGTGTTGGCTTCATTCTCTTCTGTTGAAGGCAGGATTCTCCGTATGGTGCTAGACATGGCTGCTGCTAGCTCCGAGCTCACATCCTCAAGGCACTTTGACCAGAGAAGAAGGGGTTCTTCCTTGCCAGCTCCAGTCCAAGAAAACCTGGGGAAGAGCTCTGATTGGTTTGTCTTGAGTCATGTGACTAGCGCCAGAGTAATCACTATGGCCAGGCGGGTGGGGTCCTATCCATGGCCAGTTTTGGAGCAAGTGTTCACTTCTCAGCCAATTACTATGGCCATGGATGTAAACTCATGTGAAAAGGATGGTAGCTGTGATTTTGACCACATGCTTAGGGCTGGAGAGGAGGAACAGCAGTTCACCAAAAGAAGGGAGAGGAGAGGCAGCACAGACAGGGCTACTGGGGTATCTTTGTGAACCAAGTGATCACCCCGATTTGTGTTTTTCCATAATACTCACACGGAAACAGGAGGTATTGAGAAAACAGTGCACATCTTTTCAGTATTGCCACTTGCCTTTCCCTCCTCATTGTCTGTTCTACTTCCCATCCCTGCCACCAAATGGTATACTCCAGCTATACTAAAATTACTTGAATTCTTTAGAAGTACTGTTCTTTCTGTTGTTCCCTCAGCTTTGCTTCATTGTTCAGGATTCATTTTGGGTGGCACTTTCTTTGGAAAAACTTGATTGCCCCAACTATCTACCCTCACTTTCAAATCTCGGTTATGTGCCCCTTTTATATGCTCTTATTTTACTCTGTACTTCCTTTCATATTTTGTAATTGCTTTGTTATTTCTATGTCTCTCCCACTGGAATGTAAGCTTCACGAAGGCAAGGACTTTGTCTTTCTCAATTACTACATCATCTCTAATACCTAGTGATGTGTCAGGCTCATTGTTGATTTTCACTAGATATTTGTTGAATGAAATAATAAAGGAATGACAGTTTCGAGTCTCAAATGGCAGGGCCAAATACCCGGAAAAGATCCCGGAAGCAAATAAGAAAGAAAATGATCTTCTTTCAGATGTCTTTTCTTAGATAAAGGAAGGGAGGAAGGGAAGGAGAAAAGAAGAGAGGAAGGAAAGAAAGTGTTCATTTATTATTTTTTTTGAAGAAAACCACAGCCAGAGAAGAAAGTGTTTAGATAAATATAGCTTATTGTAACATTTCAATAAAGTCAAAGATATTTGCTTTGCACTTAGAACTTTCTATTTCTTTTAGTTTTCACACTAAGTAATGAGTTACATGTAATTAAAAAGGTTAAACAATTTTTTACTTTCTTGATAAATTATTAATCAATTAACAATACATTTTCCTAACGAAATAATTATATCACTGTTAGAAAATGAGCCTGCAGGTGAATTGTATTATAACCCTTCTCTTAGTTTTCCACACTTGAACAAAGCTTATGTGTTGGGTCTAAATCAGCCTAGGTACCAGTGTTTATCTGGTGGCAGTTGATCGAAATGTTTAAGATGACAATGTAATGAAGTGTGGTCCACAGACTATCTCTGTCAAGGGTGAGAAGAAGCTTATTACCATGCTGGTACCAGTACCATGCAGACACTGGATCAGAAACTCTGAGGATGGGATAGCAATTTGTATGCAAAAAGGCCTCCAGGTGATTCTGGTACACATTCAAGTTTGAGGATCATTGACAGTAAAATAGCTGCCATGGGGTAATCATTGTGCCTTTTTACAAGTTAAGAGACAGAATTGTCAGATACAAGACCTCTGGTGATCATTTTCATGAATGTGTTGGGATGATACAAATTTCGATGGACTGACAAATGTTTGGTATTTGCTTGCAGGATGCTACAAACACCCGTGCACCTCCATGCTTGGGTTGCTCAGTATTCTGGGTAACCCCTTCATAGGATTTGTACAATTTCACATAAGTAAGGTATGGTGCTGGAGTGTTGGTGTGTCTAAATGTGCAAAATAATTTGAAAAGAAAAAGTTCCACACACTTCTATAATAGCCCGGTTGAAAATCCCTGATTGTTTGGCTGAGTTTAGCATTCTTTTTTTTTTTTAATTTAGCTTTTATTTTAAGTTCAGGGGTAACTGTAGAGGTTTGTTACATAGGTAAACTCATGTCACACAGGTTTGTTGTACAGATTATTTTGTCACTCAGGTATTAAGCCTAGTACCCATTAGTTATTTTGCCTGATCTTCTCCCTCCTCCTGCCCTCCACCCTCTGATAGGCCAAAGTGTGTGTTGTTCACCTCTATGTGTCCATGTATTCTCATCATTTAGCTGCCACGTATAAGTGAGAACATGTGGTATTTGGTTTTCTGGTCCTGTATTAGATTGCTAGGGATAATGGCCTCCAGCTCTATCTATGTCCCTGCAAAGGACATGATCTCATTCTTTTCTATGACTGCATATTATTCCATGTTGTATATGTACCACATTTTCTTTATTCAGTCTACCATTGATGGGGATTTAGGTTGATTCCATGTCTTTGCTATTGTGAATAGTGCTGCAATGAGCATATGTGTGCATCTGTCAAAGCATTCTTTAGAAAGCTAGATGACATGTGTAGTAGACAAAGGCTTTGTTTCCAAAAAAATCTCCATGGCTAGGTTCATGCCAAGCTCAGGTACTATTGTTGGAAGGAAACATAATGTGGTTATTCTAAAAGATGCCTTTTGCCAAGTAGCCTCTTGGTTACTTCTTGGTTCCTGAATTTCCATTTATTTGCTTGGCTCTTAATGGAAACATTTCAAGTCTAGTTTAATTTAAAGCCTAGTACTGTTGTTGCTGATACTAAAATTCAGCTGGGGAAAGATCAAATGATACTTTGTGAAGCTCTCCTGTGATACTCTTTGAAGCATTCTGGAGATCTCTCAGGATCTTTTAGGATTAAGGACAAGTGGTAGGAAGAAATGGTAGGACATTCTAATAAATGGTAATAATAAAATCGCCCTCTGCTGTGCCTCTCTGTGAAGCAGCATTTTCTAAACTCTGCTCTGTAGGTGTTCCACAAAATGTGATTCTACTAAAAATGTGTTCTATGGTTAAATAAGTTTGTGATGCTGCATACTACAAAGCTCTTTTAGAGATTCATTATTCATGTAAAGTTTCTGTTAAATCCTACCATAAAGTCATCTGTTTAACTCTGTGTAATGTTTCCCCCCAACTTATTGAGCCCCTGTCAGCTGACCAGCTTCTTCAAATGGGAAAAAAAGTACCAGAGGATCAACTAACCCAGACAGGCTTATTGAGCTTTATGTAGTTTTGTTTTAGACATATGCATCAGGAGGCAGTGGTTGAGCTGGGCAGCTTCCTCTCTTAGTTTATAAGCTGTAACCACAGAATATTCCTTAGCCATTGAGGCCAGCTTGAAGGATATCACATTACCCACAGACATGGCCTTGATTTCCAAAGTATCCTTGTGGTCAATAATACCTAACTTTTGTAGAACTTTAAAAGTACTCTGTTATATATACTCTTATCAATTATTATTTAAGGAAAGTATTATCATTTCAGTTTTAGAGGCCTAAAGAGGTTAAGTACCTGTCCAAGGATAGTAAACATGACTGGGAGTTAAAGTTTCCAGAATTAAGGTTTTACTTCAACATAGTACTGCTTCATATATATATATATATATATATATATATGTGTGTGTGTGTGTGTGTGTGTGTGTATTATATATATATATATATCTATATATATATATATATATCTGTCTGTCTGGTTATATATGTAGAATTCTTTCTGTTGCATCATGCTTTTTATACTATGCTCTGGCAGAGCCCTAGGGGTTCTCAGAGGTTCCCCTTAGGGGCCCCCCAAGAGGGCATGATGAATGGGGAGCCAAGAGAGATTGGGGGAGAAACTTCTATTTGAAATCACAAAGCTTTGCCTTTATCTGTTAAACAGAGTAGGTTTAGCCGGGCACAGTGGCTCATGCCTGTAATCCCAGCACTTTGGGAGGCTGAGGCGGGTGGATCATCTGAGGTCAGGAGTTCGAGACCAGCCTGGCCAACATAGTGAAACCCCGTCTCTACTAAAAAGAATACAAAAAATTAGCTGGGCATGGCGGTGGGTGCCTGTAATCCCAGCTACTAGGGAGGCTGAGGCAGGAGAATCACTTGAACCCGGGAGGCAGAGGTTGCAGTGAGCTGAGATTACGCCATTGCACTCCAGCCTGGGCAACAAGAGTGAAACTCCGTCTCAAAAAATAAATAAATGAATGAATAAATAAATAAATAAATAAAAATAAAAAAAACAGAGTAGGTTTGAGAATAAATTTCTTTTCTTTTTCTTTCTTTCTTTTCTTTCTTTTTTTTTTTTTTTTTTTTTTTTTTGAGACAGTGTCTTGCTCTGTCATCCAGGCTGGAGTGCCGTGACACAATCTTGGCTCATTGCAACCTCCACCTCCGAGGCTCAGGTGATTCTCCCACCTCTGCTTCCTGAGTAGCTGGGACCACAGGCACATGCCACCACACCCAGCTAATTTTTGTACTTTTAATAGAGACGGGGTTTCATCATGTTGCCCAAGCTGGTCTTGAACTCCTGGACTGAAGCGATCCGCCCACCTCAGCCACCCAAAGTGTTGGGATTATAGGCATGAGCCACCGCACCCAGCTTTAGAATAAATTTCTTTGGAGGAAAGTGTTCCTAAGAAAATTTGTAAACTGGCTGAAAGCTTAATTTTCTAGTTTCTGAGGAGAGTAAGGCAGGTACTTTCTCCAGATGAATAGATCTTTACATAGACGCAGACTGCCGGACTATGGATATAAACCTAAACAAGCTTTAAGGCCATTTCTAGTTCCTCAAGAGACGTAGTGGATAAGAAAGGGGGGCTCTCTAGGCAAAGAGGGATGTTAAAGGTTATGGTTTCTCACCACTCCAGGCAAAGTTTAGGGCAGTTTGGTAGAGGAGAAGGAGCTGGATCTTTCTTCTCTGTCTATAAAGTCGACAGCATTTCTTATCAGTATGTTTTAGCAGATTCAGGAGCAATAGAACTGGTTGGGTTGGGTTTGTCTTAGGTAGTCCTAGAGAAAGTTCAGCTTCTGCCCAATCTTCCCCACAACTGCTATTATAGACCAAATAGGCGTGGTCTGGGAGTAGCCCAACAGCAGTAGCCTGGAGGACTGATTGTATGGAGGGCATGACCAGGTATTTTAGGGGCAGGTCTGCCGAGGTATTCAGGGACTAGGCACCTCATGCAAAATTAATTCTCTAAAAGACAAATTGCTGAAAACTGACTAGACAGTTTTCTTTTGCACATAGCATTGGTACCTTTGATGGTCAATTTTATGTGTCAACTCGGTATTTGTTCAGCTGTTTGGTCAAATACCAGTTTACATGTTGCTGTGAAGGTGTTTTGTAGCTGTGATTAATGGCTATAATCACTTGACTTTAAATAAAGCCGATTACCCCCCACAGTGTGGGCTGGCCTCATCCAATCAGTTCAATGTCTTATGAGCAGAAACAGAGGTTTCCTCAAGAGGAAGGCATTCAGCTTCAGGACTGTGACATAGAAATTCTGCAGGCCTTCCCTGTAGATTTTGGACCTGCCAGCCTCCACAGTTGTGTGAGCCAATTCCTTAAAATAAATCTCTTAATGTACATATACATATATCCTGTTGGTTCTGTTGATTTGGAGAACCCTCACTGATACTGTATCTAAATTCATTTAGCTGCTTAGCTCCCACTTAGAAGTGAAAACATATGATGTTTGGTTTTCCATTTCCGAGTTACTTCACTTAGAATAATAGTTTTCAATTCCATTCAGGTTGCTGTGAGTGCCATTATTTCATTCCTTTTTATGACTGAGTAGTATTACTTGATATATCTATATACCACATTTTCTTCTTTTCTTTTCTTTCTTTTCTTTTTTCTTTTCTTTTCTCTCTTTTCTTTTCTTTTCTTTCCCTTTCCTTTCCTTTCCTTTCTTTTTTTTTTGATGGAGTCTCACTCTGTTGCCCAGGCTGGAGTGCAGTGGCATGATCTCGGCTCACTGCAACCTCCACCTCCTGGATTCAAGTGGTTCTCCTGCCTCAGCCTCCTGAGTAGCTGGGATTACAGGCATGTGCCACCATGCTTGGCTAATTTTTGTATTTTTAGTAGAGACAGGGTTTCACCATGTTGGTTAGGCTGGTCTCGAACTCCTGACCTCATGATCCACCAGCCTTGGCCTCCCGAAATGCTGGGATTACAGGCGTGAGCCACTGTGCCCAACCATGACATTTTCTTTGTCCACTCATTGATCGATGGGCATTTGGGCTGGTTGCATATTTTTGCAATTGAAAATTGTGCTGCTATAAACATGTGTGTGCAAGTATTTTTTTCATATAATGACTTCTTTTCCTCTGGGTAGATACCTAGTCATGGGATTGCTGGATCAAGTGGTAGATCTACTTTTAGTTTTTTGTTGCAGGAAGTCAGGGACCCCGAACGGAGGGACCGGCTGGAGCCGTGGCAGAGGAACATAAATTGTGAAGATTTCATTTTAATATGGACACCTATCAGTTCCCAAAATTAAAACTTTTATAGTTTCTTACACCTGTCTTTACTGCAATCTCTGAACATAAATTGTGAAGATTTCATGGACATTTATCAGTTCCCAAATAATACTCTTATAATTTCTTATACCTGCCTTTACTTTAATCTCTTAATCCCGTTATCTTCGTAAGCTGAGAATGTACATCACCTCAGGACCACTGTTGTACAAATTGATTGTAAAACATGTGTGTTTGAACAATATGAAATCAGTGCACCTTGAAAAAAAACAGAATAACAGCGATTTTCAGGAAACAAGGGAAGACAACCATAAGGTCTGACTGCCTGTGGGGTCGGGCAGAATAGAGCCATATTTTTCTTCTTGCAGAGAGCCTATAAACAGACGTGCAAGTAGGGAAGATACTGAATTCTTTTCCTAGCAAGGAATATTAATAATTAAGATACTGAGAAAGGAATGCATTCCTGGCGGGGGAGGGGGGCATCTATAAACGGCCGCTCTGGGAGTGTCTGTCTTATGTGGTTGAGATAAGGACTGAAATTTGCCCTGGTCTCCTGCAGTACCCTCAGGCTTAGTAGGGTAGGGAAAAAAAAACCCACCCTGGTGAATTTGAGGTCAGACCAATTCTCTGCTCTCGAACCCTGTTTTCTGTTGTTTAAGATGTTTATCAAGACAATACGTGCACAGCCGAACATAGACCCTCATCATTAATTCTAATTTTGCCCTTTGCCTTGTGATCTTTGCTTTGCCCTTTGCCTTCTGATCTTTTTGCCCTTTGAAGCATGTGATCTTTATGACCTACTCCTTGTTCTTGCACCCCCTCCCCTTTTGAAGTCCTTAATAAAAACCTGCTGGTTTTGTGGCTCAGGGGCATCATGGTCCTACCGATATGTGATGTCATCCCTGGAGGCCCAGCTGTGAAATTCCTCTCTTTGTACTCTTTCTCTTTATTTCTCAGCCAGCTGACACTTAGGGAAAATAGAAAGAACCTATGTTGAAATATTGCGGGTGGGTTCCCCTGATAGTTCTTTAAGGAATCTCCACAGTATTTTCCACACACAAAGGCATAAGAATGATACATTGGAGTTTGGGGACTTGGGGGAAAGGGAGGGATGGGGGTGAAGGATAACAGACTACACATTGGGTATAGTTTACACTGCTTGGGTGAGGGGTGCACCAAAATCTCAGAAATAACCACTAAAGAACTTATTCATGTAACCAAACACCACTTGCTCCTTAAAAACCTATTGAAATAGAAAATAAATTTAGAAATACAAAAAGAAAAGAAATTAAAAATAAATAAATAAAATTTGGCCACTAGAAAATTTAAAAAAATATATATTTTCAATTGGTGGTTGGTTGAATCCAAAAAAGTAAAATAAATTTGAGCTGCTGTCATGCAGTCGGCTTGCATCAGCTAGCTCTATATCTAAGACTTTAAATACTCTAGGGAAAACAGTCTGGTGATGAGAGAGTTTCCTTGTAACATGGTTTTTGTTTGGAAAGGCATGCATTCCTCTTGAAGGGGATTTTCCAAGGGATCCCTACCAAACACCACTCTTACATTCTTATATTGGAGAGACCAAACAATAGCAGTTGCCACTCCCAACCCTGATCTGGCACAGTTTCCCTAGTCCAATTCAGGAGAAAATGTCCCAGAATTTCCAGAGGATTATCGAATACTTTTCTGGGGACTGACAGAGCAACTTGCTCTACCAACATTATATGTATACTGCTTTTTTTTTTTTTTTTTTGAGACAGGGTTTCACCATGTTGGCCAGGATGGTCTCCATCTCTTGACCTCATGATCCGCCCTCCTTGGCCACCCAAAGTGCTGGGATTACAGGTGTGAGCCACCATGCCTGGCCAATTTTTGTGTTTTTAGTAGAGACGGGGTTTCATCATGTTGGCCAGGTTGGTCTCAATCTCTTGACCTCATGATCCACGCTCCTTGGCCTCCCAAAGTGCTGGGATTACAGGCGTGAGCCACCATGCCTGGCCAATTTTTGTGTTTTTAGTAGAGACGGGGTTTCACCATGTTGGCCAGGGTGATCTTGATCTCTTGACCTTGTGATCCACCCTCCTCGGCCTCCCAAAGTGCTGGGATTACAGGCGTGAGCCACTGCACCTGGCCAATTTTTGTGTTTTTAGTAGAGACAGGGTTTTGTCATGTTGCCCAAGCTGGTCTTGAAGTCCTGACCTCGTGATCCACCCACCTCAGCCTCCCAAAGTGCTGGGATTGCAGGTGTGAGCCACCGCACCCCCACGTATACTGCTTTTTACTGTATTTCACAGTGCTCTCAGAAACACTGTCTTGATGAACCTTTGACATAGGTATGGCAGAGGCTACTTTGTTTTTTCACACCAGTTTCCTCTTTCTTCCCCAATAAAGACCTTCAATATTTTGCTGAGTTAATTGCCATCCAGTAAAAAGACTACTAGTTCTCTGTGAAGCTAGGTGACGTCTAGCTTGTTTTGGCAGTATAGCATTGTGGTTAGGTACACATATTCTGGAATCAGGCTATGTAGGTTGCATTCAGATCTCTGCTTCATCCTTTACTGGCTGTAAATTTACTTCTCTATGCCTTCGTTTCTGCATCTGTAAAATTATATAATAATTGTACCTGTTGTATTGAGTTTCTCTGAAAAATAAATGAGTTTATATTTGTAAAGCTTTCAAACCAGAGCCTAGCACATAGTAAAGGCTATAGAAATTCTAACTATTATTTTTACTTTGGCCAACAAGATGAAAGTGTTGTGTGGGATACATAGCGAGTTTTGTTAAAGGGAAGGGGCAGGTCCATCTGCTCCTTTGTACTTAATCATAGGTGAAATGGGGTTGAAGCTTGAATAGCCATGTTAGCCACAAGATGAGGCAACAAGCTAAGAAGGAAGAGCAAGATAGAGCCTAGGCCTCTGATGACTGATGGCTGTGGAGGTGCCACAACAATTCTGGACTCTGTATCTATCTCCAGACTTCTTTTCATGAGAAAGAAAAGAAACTTCCATTTTGTTTAAGACACTGTTGTTGTTATTACTTTCTGTGGTTAAATGCAGCCAAACTTAATCTTAACTGATTTAATAAGTATGGAGGAGGCGCTACCTGCTTTTTATAGTTGAGAGATTAAGTATGGTCATCCAGTAAGAGTCATAATGTTGGATTGAGGGGAAAACAGTGGTTTCAATAACCCTTATATAGTCTAGCTTGTGACCTGGTATGAGGGAAATCTGCCAGATCTACATGTGGAGAGAGGCATTCATTTTCATCGTAGTTCTCTCCTCACGCCCTTCCCCTAACCTGAGCAGAGATGCTTAGCTATTAGCTATCTTTTCCCCCAGTGTGGACATCAAAAAAAGACTGGGACCACATTGATAACTGTGTTTAAGAGGCAGTTAGAGCCCTTTGTTTTCCGAGGCAAACTTTTCTAGACTCATCAAGGTGTTATATCTATTTCCATCCTTCTTCCTGGAATCTCCCTTCCCCAATTCCCACTGCACATTGAGTCTAGTCAATGCTGTCAGGTCCAACCAAAGACCCATCTTTTTTAGACAACCTTCTCTGATTATTCTAGTTCCTTCTCAATGGCTTGTTTAAAGTTCTAGCAACGGATCCAGTTCCAAGATGGCTGAATAGGAACAGCTCCAGTCTACAGCTCCCAGCGTGAGCCATGCAGAAGACAGGTGATTTCTGCATTTCCAACTGAGGTACTGGGTTCATCTCACTGGGGCTTATCAGACAGTGGGTTCAGCCCATAGAGTGTGAGCCGAAGCAGGGTGGGACATCGCCTCACCCAGGAAGCACAAGGGGTCAAGGAATTACCTTTCCTAGCCAAGGGAAGCCATGACAGATGGTACCTGGAAAATCGGGACACTCCCACCCTAATATTGCACTTTTCCAACGGTCTTAGCAAACGGCACACCAGGAGATTATATTCTGTGCCTGGCTCAGAGGGTTCCACGCCCACGGAGCCTCACTCACTGCTAGCACGGCAGTCTGAGATCAAACTGCAAGGTGGCAGTGAGGCTGGGGGAGGAAGGTCCACCATTGCTGAGGCTTGAGCAGGTAAACAAAGTGGCTGGGAAGCTCGACTTGGGTGAAGCCCACTGCAGCTCAAGGAGGCCTGCCTGCCTCTGTAGACTGCACCTCTGGGGGCAGGGCATAGCTGAATAAAAGGCAGCAGAAACTTCTGCAGACTTAAACGTCCCTGTCTGACAGCTTTGAAGAGAGTAGCGGTTCTCCCAGCATGGAGTTTGAGATCTGAGAACAGACAGACTGCCTCCTCAAGTGGGTCCCTGACCCTTGAGTAGTCTAACGGGGAGACATCTCCCAGTAGGGGCTGACTGACACCTCATACAGCCAGGTGCCCCTCTGAGATGAAGCTTCCAGAGGAAGGATCAGGCAGTAACATTTGCTGTTCTGTAATGTTTGCGTTCTGCAGCCTCCGCTGGTGATACTCAGGCAAACAGGGTCTGGAGTGGACCTCCAGCAAACTCCAACAGACCTTCAGCTGAGGGTCCTGACTGTTAGAAGGAAAACTAACAAACAGAAAGGACATCCACACCAAAACCCCATCTGTACGTCACCATCATCAAAGACCAAAAGTAGATAAAACCACAAAGATGGGGAAAAAACAGAGCAGAAAAGCTGAAAATTCTAAAAATCAGAGTGCCTCTTCCCTTCCAAAGGAACGCAGCTCCTCGCCAGCAATGGAACAAAGCTGGATGGAGGATGACTTTGATGAGTTGAGAGAAGAAGGTTTCAGACGATCGGTAATAACAAACTTCTCCAAGCTAAAGGATGATGTTCGAACCCATTGCAAAGAAGCTAAAAACCTTGAAAAAAGATTAGACAAATGGGTAACTAGAATAAACAGCATAGAGAAGACCTTAAATGACCTGATGGAGCTGAAAACCATGGCACAAGAACTGCATGACGCATGCACAAGCTTCAGTAGCTGATTCGATCAACTGGAAGAAAGGGTATCAGTGATTGAAGATCAAATGAATGAAATGAAGCAAGAAGAGAAGTTTAGAGAAAAAAGAGCAAAAAGAAACGAACAAAGCCTCCAAGAAATATGAGACTATGTGAAAAGACCAAATCTACGTCTGATTGGTGTACCTGAAAGTGACGGGGAGAATGGAACCAAGTTGGAAAACACCCTGCAGGATATTATCCAGGAGAACGCCCCCAACCTCGTAAGGTAGGCCAATATTAAAATTCAGGAAATACAGAGAATGCCACAAAGATACTCCTCAAGAAGAGCAACCCAAGACACATAATTGTCAGATTCACCAAAGTTGAAATGAAGGAAAAAATGTTAAGGGCAGCCAGAGAGAAATGTCGGGTTATCCACAAAGGGAAGCCCATCAGAGTAACAGTGGATTTCTCGGCAGGAACTCTACAAGCCAGAAGAGAGTGGGGGCCAATATTCAGCATTCTTAAAGAAAAGAATTTTCAACCCAGAACTTCATATCCAGCCAAACTAAGCTTCATAAGTGAAGGAGAAATAAAATACTTTACAGACAAGCAAATGCTGAGAGATTTTGTCATCACCAGGCCTGCCTTACAAGAGCTCCTGAAAGAAGCACTAAACATGGAAAGGAACAACCGGTACCAGCCACTGCAAAAACATGCCAAATTGCAAAGACCATGGATGCTAGGAAGAAACTGCATCAACTAATGAGCAAAATAACCAGCTAACATCATGACAGGATCAAATTCACACATAACAATATTAACCTTAAATGTAAATGGGCTAAATGCTCCAATTAAAAGACACAGACTGGCAAATTGGATAAAGAGTCAAGACCCATCAGTGTGCTGTATTCAGGAGACCCATCTCACGTGTAGAGACACACATAGGCTCAAAATAAAGGGATGGAGGAAGATCTACCAAGCAAATGGAAAACAAAAAAAGAAAAGCAGGGGTTGCAATCCTAGTCTCTGATAAAACAGGCTTTAAACAAACAAAGATCAAAAGAGACAAAGAAGGCCATTACATAATGATAAAGGGATCAATTCAACAAGAAGAGCTAACTATCCTAAATATATATGCACCCAATACAGGAGCACCCGGATTCATAAAGCAAGTCCTTAGAGACCTACTGAAATGCCTAACCTTGTTTTTACTCTAACTCGTTACTTTGAGTTTTATCCTGCTTGTCTCTTTAATCACCTAGCCTTGCTTCTCATGTAAATAAGGCTCTCTCTAGCTGAGAAAGCCGGACAAACTCCAATTGACCCCTTAATTTACAAGACACAAAGGGCTCCTTACCCAACCCCCTTCTGTAAGGAGTTGGCCTGTGTAAACAGATCCTCAGCATTTCAAAGGAGCCCAATTAACTAAGATACTAGCACCAACAATATATGAAGTTCCCAGGATTTTTCTCCAGGAGATAACAACGTAAAACCTTGAGTTCATGTCCGGTATAGACCCTATATCTAATTATAATGAAAGATTTAAAACCTTGCACCTGGTACCATTGCTCTTTTTGTAACCATTTGTCTTTTAAATTGTTTATCTCTCTGTAACCATTTTGCTTCTTTTGATTCTTGCATGTTTTTACTTCTGTAGAATTATTGCATTTGAGTCCCCCTCCCCTTCCTAAACCTGGGTATAAAAGTTAATCAAGCCCCTTTCTCATGGCCAAGAGAATTCTGAGCGTTAGCCATCTCGTTGGCCACCAGCTTAATAAAGGACTCTTAATTCGTCTCAAAGTGTGGCATTTCTTTAACTCGCTTGGGTACAACACTACAAAGAGACTTAGACTCCCACACAAGAATAATGGGAGACTTTAACACCCCACTGTCAACATCAGACAGATGAATGAGACAGGAAGTTAACAAGGATAACCAGGAATTAAAGTCAGCTCTGCACCAAGCAGACCTAATAGACATCTACAGAACTCTCCACCCCAAATCAACAGAATATACATTCTTCTCAGCACCACATCGCGCTTATTCCAAAATTGACCACATAGTTAGAAGTAAAGCAGTCCTCAGCAAATGTAAAAGAACAGAAATTATAACAAACTGTCTCTCAGACCACAGTGCAATCAAACTAGAACTCAGGATTAAGAAACTCACTCAAAACCGCTCAACTACATGGAAACTGAACAACCTGCTCCTGAATGACTACGGGGTACATAACGAAATGAAGGCAGAAATAAAGATGTTCTTTGTAACCAATGAGAACAAAGACACAACATAGCAGAATGTCTGGGACACATTTAAAGCAGTGTGTAGAGGGAAATTTATAGCACTAGATGCCCACAAGAGAAAGCAGGAAAGATCTAAAATTGACACCCTAACATCACAATTAAAAGAACTAGAAGCAAGAGCAAACACATTCAAAAGCTAGCAGAAGGCAAGAAATAACTGAGATCAGAGCAGAACTGAAGGAGATAGAGACACAAAAAACCCTTCAAAAAAATCAATGAATCCAGGAGCTGTTTTTTTGAAAAGATCAACAAAATTGATAGACTGCTAGCAAGACTAATAAAGAAGAAAAGAAAGAAGAATCAAATAGATGCCATAAAAAATGATAACGGGGATATCACCACCGATCCCACAGAAATACAAACTACCATCAGAGAATACTATAAACACCTCTACGCAAATAAACTAGAAAATCTAGAAGAAATGGATAAATTCCTTGACACATACACCCTCCCAAGACTAAACCAGGAAGAAGTGGAATCCCTGAATAGACCAATAACAGGCTCTGAAATTGAGGCAATAATTAGTAGCCTACTAACCAAAAAAAGTCCAGGACCAGATGGATTCACAGCCAAATTCTACCAGAGGTACAATGAGGAGCTGGTACCATTCCTTCTGAAACTATTCCAATCAATGGAAAAAGAGGGAATCCTCCCTAACTCATTTTATGAGGTCAGCATCATCCTGATACCAAAGCCTGGCAGAGACACAACAACAAAAAAGAGAGAATTTTAGACCAATATACCTGATGAACATCTATGCAAAAATCCTCAATAAAATACTGGCAAACAGAATCCAGCAACACATCAAAAAGCTTATCCACCACGATCAAGTGGGCTTCATCCCTGGGATGCAAGGCTGGTTCAACATACGCAAATCAATAAACATAATCCAGCATATAAACAGAACCAAAGACAAAAACCACATGATTATCTCAATAGGTGCAGAAAAGGCCTTTGACAAAATTCAACAGCCCTTCATGATAAAAACTCTCAATATATTAGGTATTGATGGGATGTATCTCAAAATAATAAGAGCTATTTATGACAAACCCACAGCCAATATACTGAATGGGCAAAAACTGGAAGCATTCCCTTTGAAAACTGGCACAAGACAGGGATGCCCTCTCTGACCACTCCTATTCAACATAGTGTTGGAAGTTCTGGCCAGGGCAATCAGGCAGGAGAAAGAAATAAAGGGTATTCAATTAGGAAAAGAGGAAGTCAAATTGTCCCTGTTTGCAGATGACATGATTGTATATTTAGAAAACCCCATTGTCTCAGCCCAAAATCTCCTTAAGCTGATAAGCAACTTCAGCAAAGTCTCAGGATACAAAATCAGTGTGCAAAAATCACAAGGATTCTTATACACAAATAACAGACAAACAGAGAGCCAAATCATGAGTGAACTCCCATTCAATTGCTTCAAAGAGAATAAAATACCTAGTAATCCAACTTACAAGGGATGTGAAAGACCTCCTCAACGAGAACTACAAACCACTGCTCAACAAAATAAATGGAATAACATTCCATGCTCATGGATAGGAAGAATCAATATCGTGAAAGTGGCCATACTGCTCAAGGTAATTTATAGATTCAATGCCATCCCCATCAAGCTACCAATGACTTTCTTCATAGAATTGGAAAAAACTACTTTAAAGTTCATATGGAACCAAAAAAGAGCCTGCATTGCAAGACAATCCTAAGCCAAAAGAACAAAGCTGGAGGCATCATGCTACCTGACTTCAAACTATACTACTACAAGATTACAGTAACAAAAATAGCATGGTACTGGTACCAAAACAGACATATAGACCAATGGAACAGAACAGAGGCCTCAGAAATAATACCACACATCTACAACAATCTGATCTTTGACAAACCTGGCAAAAACAAGAAATGGGGAAAAGATTCCTCATTTAATAAATGGTGCTGGGAAAACTGGTTAGTCATATGTAGAAAGCTGCAACTGGATCCCTTCCTTATACCTTATACAAAAATTAATTCAAGATGGATTAAAGACTTAAATGTTAGACCTAAAACCATAAAAACCCTAGAAGAAAACCTAGGCAATACCATTCAGGACATAGGCATGGGAAAGTACTTCATGTCTAAAACACCAAAAGCAATGGCAACAAAAGCCAAAATTGACAAATGGGATCTAATTAAACTAAAGAGCTTCTGCACAGCAAAAGAAACTACCATCAGAGTGAACAAACAACCTACAGAATGGGAGAAAATTTTTGCAATCTCCTCATCTGACAAAAAGCTAATATCCAGAATCTACAAAGAACTTAAACAAATTTACAAGAAAAAAATCAAACAATCCCATCAAAAAGTGGGCAACGAATAGGAACAGACACTTCTCAAAAGAAGACATTTATGCAGCCAACAGACACATGAAAAATTGCTCATCATCACTGGCCATCAGAGAAATGCAAATCAAAACCACAATGAGATACCATCTCACACCAGTTAGAATGGCGATCGTTAAAAAGTCAGGAAACAACAGATGCTGGAGAGGATGTGGAGAAATAGGAACACTTTTACACTGTTGGTGGGAGTGTAAACTAGTTCAACCATTGTGGAAGACAGTGTGGCGATTCCTCAAGAATCTAGAACCAGAGATAACATTTGACCCAGCCATCCCATTACTGGGTATATACCCAAAGGATTATAAATCATGCTGCTATAAAGACACATGCACATGTATGTTTATTGCGGCACTATTCACAATAGCAAAGACTTGGAACCAACCCAAATGTCCGTCAATGATAGACTGGATTAAGAAAATGTGGCACATATACACCATGGAATACTATGCAGCCATAAAAAAGGATGAGTTCATGTCCTTTGTAGGGACATGGATGAAGCTGGAAACCATCATTCTCAGCAAACTATTGCAAGGACAGAAAACCAAACACTGCATGTTCTCACTCATAGGTGGGAATTGAACAATGAGAACACTTGGACACAGGGTGGGGAACATCACACACCAGGGCCTGTCGTGAGGTGGGGGTAGGGAGGAGGGATAGCATTAGGAGATATACCTAATGTAAATGACGAGTTAATGGGTGCAGCACACCAACATGGCACATGTATACATATGTTACAAACCTGCATGTTGTGCACATGTACCTTAGAACTTAAAGTATAATAAATAAATAAATAAAATAAATAAGGTTCTAGCAACGAGGCCCAGTGGCTTGCTACTCCCTGATAGAAGGAAGCATGAGCCTCCATTATCTGTGATGCTTTGAGTACTACGCCCATGAAACAATGAAGAAAGAAAGAGGTCCCTACTATGCAGCATAATTAGCTGAATGAAACCTGGTGATCAGGGGAGTGATATGTCATGGATGACCTCCCATTTTATCTCCTCCTCTTTGAACTCTTACAATTCTTATTCATGTTATCCAGAAGTCAACTCAAGTCTTGGGTTGATTGAGAGATTTCATATTGCCATGTTATTGAGAATAACTTGCCTTTCCACTCTATTGACTAGAGCCTTCCTTTGCATATCCAAAGTATCTTTTATTTATAGTAGCCCATCTTTTCCAGAGTACCTTACTTTAGCAGTATAAAGAACTAGCAGAGGCTATGAAATATATTTTTCTTCTCCTTTCCCACCAATCTCCATGAGAGGAAGGGAACATACTTCCACTAGTCTGAAATATGCCTCCTCCCTTAGCATACAAAAGTGGAAAAATAAGTTTTGAGTTTAAAAATTAACTTTAAAATTAAATGTTACACTAATAATGCTTGGTATTTATTGTTTACTATGGAAAGCACTATGTGAAATCCCTTAAGTACATTATTTTATTTAATAACTGTACATATTTTATAGACAAAGAAAGAGACTTGGGAAGGTTAAATAGCTTGTCCAAATTCACATAGCTGATATTTGAACTCAGGTCAGTCTAACTCCAAATTTCATTAATTCAGCAGCATGCTATACTGCCTGTCTTTTTCAGTACTCCTTACTTAATCTGTATAATTTAATTAAACATTTGGCAGTGTAGTATAGTGGATATAATGGCTCCAGCACCAGACCTGGGTTTGAATCTGAACTTGCTCTCTTGCTAGTGGTATGACCTTGGGCATACGTACATCATTAAATGAATGAATGAAAAACATGTCTTATAGGAATGTGGTGAGGATTAGATGTGAACATTCCCAGCACACAGCAGATGCTAGATGAAAGTGTTTTCCCCTCTGTTCTTCTTCTTTCATGTGTTTAGCTTGTGTTCCCAAGGAGACTACAAATACCTTAAGGAGAGCGACCATATGTTTGATTTCTTGTATAGCCTCAGAATCATACACAGTGCTAGGCACATGATAGTAGAGCAACTAAAACTTTTGATATTGACTTAAAGGAAGCATTTTGTATTAAAATTTGACAACTTCAAAATAGTTTGAGAGACTTTTCTCCACTTTAGATGCAAATAATTAACCAGCAAAGTATCACCTTGGTCCTCTTCCTTTGTAGTATGTGGCAATAGCATAAGTTTATTTCTAAATACTTTAGCAAATATTTTCTAGCTTCTAACTCAGGAGATGAGTAATTTTTTGCTGAAAGCATTTCCATTTTACTTATTTCCATATCCTCTACCAAAATGAGAATTGGCTTTTCATCTGAGAATAACTTTGGAAAGCCTTGGCTGGACATCGTTAGGGCATTAAAAAAAAGTCTTCTTGTAAATTTAAGTTCCTTGTAGATTCTGGATATTAGGTCTTTGTCAGATGAATAGATTGCAATAATTTTCTCCCATTGTGTAGGTTTCCTGTTCACTTTGATGATAGTTTCTTTTGCTGTATAGAAGCTCTTTAGTTTAATTAGATCCCATTTGTCAATTTTGGCTTTTGTTGCAATTGCTTTTGGCGTTTTTGTCATGAAGTCTTTGCCCATGCCTATGTCCTGAACGGTATTGCCTAGGTTTTCTTCTAGGGTTTTTATGGTTTTGGGTTTTACATTTAAGTCCTTAATCCATCTTAAGTTAATTTTTGTATAAGGTGTAAGGAAGGGGTCTAGTTTCAGTTTTCTGCATAAGGCTAGCCAGTTTTCCCAGCACCATTTATTGACTAGGGAATCCTTTCCCCATTTCTTGTTTTTGTCATGTTTGTCAAAGATCTGATGATTGTAGATGTGTGGTGTTATTTCTGAGGTCTCTGTTCTGTTCCATTCGTCTATATGTCTGTTTTGGTACCAGTGCCATGCTGTTTTGGTTACTGTAGCCTTGTAGTCGTATAGTTTGAAGTCAGCTAGTGTGATGCCTCCAGCTTTGTTCTTTTTACTGAGGATTGTCTTGGCTATATGGGCTCTTCTTTGGTTCCATATAAGATGTAAAGTAGATTTTTCTAATTCTGTGAAGAATATCAATGGTAGTTTGATGGGAGTAGCATTGAATCTATAAATTACTTTGGGCAGTATAGCCATTTTCACAATACTGATTCTTCCTATCCATGAGGATGGAATGCTTTTCCATTTGTTTGTGTCCTCTCTTACTTCCTTGAGCAGTGGTTTATAGTTCTCCTTGAAGAAATCCTTCACATCCCTTGTTATGTATTTCTAGGTATATTATCCTGTTTGTAGCAATTGTGAATGGCAGTTCATTCATGATTTGGCTCTCTGTTTGTCTATTGTTGGTGTACAGGAATACTTGTGATTTTGCACATTGATTTTGTATCCTGATATTTTGCTGAAGTTGCTTATCAGCTTAAGAAGTTTTTGGGCTGAGATGATGGGGTTTTCTAAATATACAATCATGTCATCTGCAAACAGGGACAATTTGACTTCTTGTCTTCCTATTTGAATACCCTTTATTTCCTTCTCTTGCCTGATTTTCCTGACCAGAGCTACCAATACTGGGTTGAATAGGAGTGGTGATAGAGGGAGTCCTTGTCTTGTACCAGTTTTCAAAGGGAATGCTTCCAGCTTTTGCCCATTCAGTATGATATTGGCTGTGGGTTTGTCATAAATAGCTCTTATTATTTTGAGATATGTCCCATCAATACCTAATATATTGAGAGTTTTTAGCATGAAGGGCTATTGAATTTTGTCAAAGGCCTTTTCTACATCTATTGAGATAATCATGTGGTTTTTGTCTTTAATTCTGCTTATATGCTGGATTATGTTTATTGATTGGTGTATGTTGAACCAGACTTGCACCCCAGGGATGAAGCCGAATTGATCATGGTGGATAAGTTTTTTGATGTGGTGCCAGATTTCGTTTGCCAGTATTTTATTGAGGATTTTCGCATCAATGTTCATCAGGGATATTGGCCTGAAGTTTTTTTTGTGTGTGTGTGTGTGTGTGTCTCTGCAATAACCCCATCAAAAAGTGGGCAAAGGATATGAACAGACACTTCTCAAAAGAAGACATTTACGCGGCCAACAAACATGTGAAAAAAAGCTCAGCATCACTGATCATTAGAGAAATGCAAATCAAAACCACAATGAGATACCATCTCATGTCAGTAAGAATGGCGATTATTAGAAAGTCAAGAAACAATAGATACTGGCGAGGCTGTGGAGAAATAGGAACACTTTTACACTGTTGGTGGGAATGTAAATTAGTTTAACCACTGTGGAAGACAGTGTGGCAATTCCTCAAGGATCTAGAACCAGAAATACCATTTGACCCAGCAATCCCATTACTGGTATATACCCAAAGGATTATAAATCATTCTACTATAAAGACACATGCACACATATGTTTATTGCAGCACTATTTACAATAGCAAAGACTTGGAACCAACCCAAATGCCCATCAATGATTGACTGGATAAAGAAAATGTGGTACATATACACCATGGAATACTATGCAGCCATAAAAAGGAATGAGATTATATCCTTTGCAGGGACTTGAATGAAGCTGGAAGCCATCATCCTCAGCAAACTAACGCAGGAAGAGAAAACCAAATACCGTATATTCTCACTTATAAGTGGGAGTTGAACAATGAGGACACATGGACACAGGGAGGGGAACAACACACACTGGGGCCCGTGGGGGGTGGGGGCAAGGGGAGGGAACCTAGATGATGGGTCAATAGGTGTAGCAAACCACCATGGCACACGTATACCTATGTAACAAACCTGTGCATTCTGCACATGTATCCCAGAACTTAAAGTAAAAAAAAAAGAAAAGAGTTTTAAGTTAATTCACTCAGATGACTAGTCAAGTTAAAAAACATTAGCCAAACTATTTGTTTGACTGAGTAGTGTGTTTGACTAGGTTAATTGACAGGAGTTTTGCAGTTAAAGTTACTGAGGGCATGTCTTGATATTTTAGGGCTTTGTGTTTAAATCACTATTTGAGATCCTTGAAGAGAGGTTAAAAGACATGGACGATAGGCAAAAGGTCCAATATACGTCTAAAATGAATTCCTAATGGAGGTACTAGAGAGAATGGGGGACAGCTAATTTTTAAAGAGATAATGAATTTTTTTCAGAATTGATGAATGATGGGAGTCTTGAAATTCAAAAAGCATGAGTCCTAAGTAGAATGAGTAAAAATAAGCCTGCTTCTAGATATATCATAGTAAAATTGCAGAGCATGAAAAACAAAGAAAAGCTCTTAAAATTTACTTGCTCAAGATCATAAAACTAGTTAGTAGTGAAGCCAGTATTCAAACCCTGTGTTTTTGACCACTACTAGTACCAGGTCATCTAGTTACAAGCTGCAATTTACAGATGAGGCAATTGAGGTCAAAAGATGACAGAGATTAGTTTTTGGAGTTTAATGGTAGTAGGTCTTGAAGTTATACTCGTTTCTTTACCTCAGATTTAGGAAAATCTCCATTGTGAGTGGTAAGAGGAGCCACACTGTACCTTGGAAGCAATAATTCATGGGTTGTGGACTGTTGTTTCCAGAATGATCAGCAGACACTGCAGAACATAGCTAACAAAAATGTCCAACACTTATGTAGTGCTTACCATGTGACATTAACCCAGTTAATTTTCATGTCAACTCAATGAGTTAGATAATGGTTTTATCACAGTCTTTTAGATGGGAAACTAAGGCACTCAGAGGAGGAAAGTAATTTGCCACATTCACAAAGCTAGTAAGCAGAAAAGCCAGGATTTACACCCTAAGCAGCCTGGCTGGTGAGTGTTTAACCTCTGCGCTATACTTCTGCTAGCACAAACAAAATAAACCCTGTGAAGTCAGAAACTGTGTCTGTCTTGTTCACTGCTGTATCCCTAGGACCCAGTATAATGCTTGGCACATAATAGATACTCAATAAATATTTCTTACGTTAATGAAGTAATAAATAAGTGAATAAATTTGATTCGTGATGCCATATTCAGTGTGGCTGTGTGGACTGAACTGTTCCATTACCAGCTAGCTACTTAGTAATAGTGAAATTTCTCACAAATGGGACAAATTTGCACCTGGGCAATTAGAGCTGTGCCTAACTACCCTTTGCTCACATCATCAGTTTTACACTGCAGCCTTGGAGATCTACTAAAGTGAATCTCCTGGTTCTGAGTCCCAGCTGAACCCTAGATGCAACCTGCTGACTTGTGATTGTTTGGAGCCTGAGGCAACAGGACCCTGGGTGGAGAGAGTCCAAGTTATGATTTAAAAATATGTATCTGTACCACAGAGTCAACATTAGGCAGCTGGAAACTATTCACATCCTGTATATTCTCTGTAGGGGTAGGGGGACTGACTGATCATGTGATCACAGAGCACACAGATTATTAGCAGGATAAAATAATCAACATGCTTAAAACATAAAAGCTTCTGAGGGGCAATGGGAAGCCATCTGTCTCTTAGCTCTGAGACCAAACTCAAGGCTGGTGTTAGGCCTCTTGTGTGTTACAGTTTCATTTTACTCTTAATTCAAACCAGATTCCTATTAAAACAGACTCCTAATAAAGCTTAACAGCCTAAGTGGGTAATCACTCTCTTAAAAATGAAATCTCACTGCCTCCACTCTGGGGCCCTTATATGGCATTATACAATTTTTAAAGTTTTTTGAGAGTAAGTTTCCATTGAAAAGATGGCAGAGATTTACTTGTCTATCAGTCCTCAGAGTACATAGCTATATTTACAATGGAATCATCGGTATTCTCAGTTTGATGACGCAACTTGGTAAAGCTAATGTGTCATTCACTGTTTAATATGATTATATCTATTCAGGAACTTTGATCTGAGCACTAAAACTGATGGGTTTCTTCAGTAAAGTAATTAGTAAAAGACTAATTTAATAATGCAACTGACTTTGTTCATCACCTCTACACTGAACACCTCTACACTGTTTTTTTTAATTGTTTGCTCCAACCAGTTGGTTTGGAACTCTGTAGTTATGTTCCCAATAAAACCAGGCTACAAGTTGGTCAAACCAGTTGCTTAGATAGTGCAAACACCTGAATGACTACAGGCATGACTTTCCAAAAACATTGGCGTTCTGTTGTCCTCTCTTGATCAGAAATAGAGAGATTTGGTCATTCAGTCATGACAAAAAAAGATAATGAAAGTGTAAATTATTAACAGAATGTTGCCAACACATACTATTTTCCTCATTACAATGTGACTATTTGTCAAGGGTGTTGTTGCCTGAGAAATCAGTGATATGGGAGGCAAATTGGTAATAATACACTCATCTTTTCTAAATTAGAAGACTTCAACTAGGCTTGAACATCATTAGTAAATGCTCCTTTTCCTCTGAATAAACTCTTTAATTTACATCCATCATCAAACATTTCCTAAGACAAAAGCTGGTGATCTTTTGATTGCAGGCACTATTCTCACTGATAATTGTCATTAACCGAATAGAGCTGGATCTATTCTCTTTTCTCTGTATTTCTTTTTACCATAACATGAGTATTCTGCTTTCTTAGGTATATAACTAAAAGATGGATAAATCAAAGAGGTAGAAGAATTATCTTTGATTGAAGGAGGTGGAAGTGCTATAAATATATGTCTAGACACCCGCTTTTTAACTTCCATCTCTGCATCATTAATAAATTTATTAGTGAGGGCCCTGTTCACATTTCTATTATCAATTCTAATTATTTGTGTGTTTGAATCAATCTCTCCTGCCTTCATTAGTGTCATTAACGCCTGTCAGCAAATGATAATGTGGGAGAATCTCACAAATTTATATGCATTCCCAGAGTGGAGACCCAACCACAGTCAGTATTCTTGCATGACAGCAGCTGTAACAAATGGCCATCCTTCCCAGGAGAAGTGTAAACAGGTCACTAATTAATGCATTTACCATTAGACTCTGTTTAGTTTTCAGTCATAGCATATGATTCATTATGTTGGGACACCAAGTACAATGTCGTTATGGAAATGAGGTATTTGTACATTCTCCTTAGATCCACATGACAGATTGAGCTATCTACCTATTTTTCTCTCAGCACTTTCCCAGATTTCAGAGTATATGAATGACCTTGGAGAAGGTCCTACTTTATTACTAGGCATCTAGTGAAAATGGCATAATGGGTTGGCAGTTTATTTAAATACATGCAATGAAAATCAGCTCTTGGTGAGGGATAAAGTTGGGGAAAAAATAAGAGGATTAAGAGGAAAAAGGGAAAATAAATTCTAAATTTTAGGAGTTGTGCTATAATGTCAGGAAATTTAAATCAAAATTAGAAGTGGAGTGGTACAATGAGAAGTTCATTGCTTCAGAAAGACTGAAAAGTAGACTTTGATGGTCAAGCTCCTTCCCTTATATCCACGAAATGGTCAACAGCTCCCCAAGAAAGATATAGTCGAGACAAACTTGTTTTTCTTCCAGCTGGCAATTCTAAATTCCCTAAATCCTTAGATTAAAGCTCCAAATAAAGAATAGGGGCATCAAAGAAGACTAGTCATGCCTTATTTGTTAACTGTATATATTATGTTATATGTTGATCATAAATAGCAGTTCTTATCATAGCTCATCCATTCATTTACTTAATAAACACTTATTGAGTAACACTCTGGGCCAGGCCATATGTTTGGGATACAGAGATGAAAATGATACAGACTTACCCTTCAAGAAACTTAGGAGATAGACAAACTGACAATACAGTGTGGTTATTATAAGTAACATAAGTACTATGATAGTTGCATGCCCAGGATGCTGTGGAAGTATAAAGGATGAATTCTTCATGGTAAGCATAGGGAGGGTTTCACAGAAGAGGTAACATTTAAACTGAGTCTTAAAGGAAAAGTAGGTATTTTTAGAAGAGGAATGGAGGGGACAGGTATGTTAGGTTGAGGAAATAGGGTGTGCAAAGGTAAAAGCACATTAAACAATGTACTATATTTACACAATGGTAACAAATTAAAGGTGGCTGGGACATTGTTTGCATAGGGGATAGACTATCAGAAGGAGCAATGAGAGATGGTTGTATGAGAAGTAGATGAGGTCCAAACAGAGTAGAGTTTTATATGTCATGCTGAGAGGGTTTGTACTATATTATGAAGGAAGTAAAGACTTAATAGAAGCATGACATAGCCAAATTGCTTTTTCTTCTCTTTTTTTTAATTTTTAGAGATTACTCTTGTGACACTATGGAGGATGAACTGGAATGGGGAGATTGGAGGCTGGGAGAGTGGACAGGAGCTTGATAAAGTAGTCTAATCAAGTGATAATTTTTCAAAGTCAGGTCAGGATTAATAACTCTCAGGATCGTAGGCCTTTTACTAGACCTTCTTTCCTGGAAGAACTACCTTTCCCAGGGTCATGAAAGAAACTTCTTTTTCTTTTTTTTAAGTTCGGGGTACACATGTAGGTGTGTTACATAGGTAAACTTGTGTCACAGGGGTTTGTTGTTATTATGAAGGAAGTAAAGACTTAATAGAAGCATGACATAGCCAGTTTGCATTTTCTTTTCTTAAATGTTATTTCATCACTCAGGTATTAAGCCTAGTACCCGTTAGTTATTTTTCCTGACCCTCTCTCTCTTCTCACCATCCACCCTCTGATAGGCACCAGTGTGTGTTCTTCTCCTCTATGTGTCCGTGTGTTCTCATCATTTCGCTCCCACTTATAAATTTACTGCACCTATCAACCCATCACCTAGGTATTAAGCCCCACATGCATTAGCTATTTATCGTGATGCTCTCCCTCCCCTCACCTCTATAACAGGCCCCAGTGTATGTTGTTCCCCTCCTTGTGTCCATGTGTTCTCACTGTTCAGCTCTCAATTATGAGTGAGAACATGCAGGGTTTGGTTTTCCGTTCCTGTGTTAATTTGCTGAGAATGATGGTTTCCAGCTTCATCCATGTCCCTGCAAAGGACATGAACTCAACCTTTTTTCTGGCTGCATAGTATTCCATGGTGTATATGTGCCACATTTTCATTATCCAGTCTATCATTGATGGACATTTGGGTTGGTTCCAAGCCTTTGCTATTGTGAATAGTGCTGCAATAAACATATGTGTGCATGTGTCTTTATAGCAGAATGATTTATAATCCTTTGGGTATGTACCCAGTAATGGGATTGCTGGGTCAAATGGTAGTTCTGGTTCTAAATCCTTGAGGAATTGCCACACTATCTTCTACAAAGGTTGAACTAATTTACACTCCCACCAACAGTGTAAAAGCATTTCTATTTCTCCATATCCTCTCCAGCATCTGTTGTTTCCTGACTTTTTAATGATCGCCATTCTAACTGGCATGAGATGGTATCTCATTGTGGTTTTGAGTTGCATTTCTCTAATGACCAATGATGATGAGCTTTTTTTCATATGCTTGTTGGCGGCAAAAATGTCTTCTTTTGAGAAGTGTCTCTTCGTTTCTTTTGCCCACTTTTTGATGGGGTTGTTTGCTTTTTTCTTCTACATTTGTTTAAATTCATTGTAGATTCTGGATGTTAGCCCTTTGTCAGATGGGCAGATTGCAAAAATTTTCTCCCATTCTGTAGGTTGCCTGTTCACTGTGATGATAGTTTCTTTTGCTGTGCAGAAGTTCTTTAGTTTAATTAGATCCCATTTGTCAATTTTGGCTTTTGTTGCCATTGCTTTTTGTGTTTTAGTCATGAAGTCTTTGCCCATGCCTATGTCCTGAATGGTATTGCCTAGGTTTTCTTCTAGGGTTTTGATGGTTTTAGGTCTTACATTTAAGTCTTTAATTCATCTTGAGTTAATTTTTGTATAAGGTGTAAGGAAGGTGTCCAGTTTTAGTTTTCTGCATATGGCTAGCCGGTTTTCCCAGCACCATTTGTTAAATAGGGAATCCTTTCCCCATTGCTTGTTTTTGTCAGGTTTGCCAGGATCAGATGATTGTAGATGTGTGGTGTTATTTCTGAGGCCTCTGTTCTGTTCCATTGGTCTATATGTCTGTTTTGGTACCAGTACCATGCTGTTTTGGTTACTGCAGCCTTGTAGTAATGTAGTTTGAAGTCAGGTAGCATGATGCCTCCAGCTTTGTTCCTTTTACGTAGGATTGTCTTGGCTATATGGGCTCTTTTTTGGTTCCATATGAAATTTAAAGTAGTTTTTTTAATTCTGTGAAGAAAGTCCATGGTAGCTTGATGAAGAAATGGGTAATATGGCCATTTTCAGATTCTTCCTATCCATGAGGATGGAATGTTTTTCCATTTGTTTGTGTCCTTTCTTATTTCATTGAGCAGTGGTTTGTAGTTCCTCTTGAAGAGGTCCTTCATATCCCTTGTAACTTGGATTGCTAGGTATTTTATTCTCTTTGAAGCAATTGTGAATGGGAGTTCACTCACGTTTTGGCTCTCTATTATTGGTATATAGGAATGCTTGTGATTTTTGCACACTGATTTTGTATCCTGATACTTTGCTGAAGTTGCTTATCAGCTTAAGGAGATTTTGGGCTGAGACGATGGGGTTTTCTAGATATACAATCATGTCATCTGCAAACAGGGACAATTTGACTTCCTCTTTTCCTAATTGAATACCCTTTATTTCCTTCTCCTGCCTGATTGCCCTGGCCAGAAATTCCACACTATGTTGAATAGGAGTGGTGAGAGAGGGCATCCCTGTCTTGTGCCAGTTTTCAAAGGGAATGCTTCCAGTTTTTGCCCGTTCAGTATGATATTGGCTGTGGGTTTGTCATAGATAACTCTTATTATTTTGAGATACGTCCCATCAATACCTAATTTATTGAGAGTTTTTAGCATGAAGGGTTGTTGAATTTTGTCAAAGGCCTTTTCTGCATCTGTTGAGATAATCATGTGGTTTTTGTCTTTGGTTCTGTTTATATGCTGGATTATGTTTTTGATTTGCGTATGTTGAACCAGCCTTGCATCCCAGGGATGAAGCCCACTTGATCATGGTGGATAAGCTTTTTGATGTGTTGCTGGATTCTGTTTGCCAGTATTTTATTGAGGATTTTTGCATCAATGTTCATTAGGAATATTGGTCTAAAATTCTCTTTTTTGGTTGTGTCTCTGCCAGGCTTTGGTATCAGGATGATGCTGGCCTCATAAAATGAGTTAGGGAGGATTCTCTCTTTTTCTATTGATTGGAATAGTTTCAGAAGGAATGGTACCAGCTCCTCCTTGTACCTCTGGTAGAATTTGGTGTGAATCTGTCTGGTCCTGGACTTTTTTTCGTTGGTAGGCTACTAATTATTGCCTCAATTTCAGAGCCTGTTATTAGTCTATTTAGGGATTCAACTTCTTCCTGGTTTAGTCTTGGGAGGGTGTATGTGTCCAGGAATTTATCCATTTCTTCTAGATTTTCTAGTTTATTTGCATAGAGGTGTTTTGTCTGAGCAAATAAATACTATGTTTCATCATAGTATTCTCTGATGGTAGTTTGTATTTCTGTGGGATTGGTGGTGATATCCCTTTTAACATTTTTTATTGTGTCTGTTTGATTCTTCTCTCTTTTCTTCTGTATTTGTCTTGCTAGCGGTCTATCAATTTTGTTGATCTTTTCAAAAAACCAGCTCCTGGATTCACTGATGTTTTGAAGGGTTTTTTGTGTCTCTATCTCCTTCAGTTCTGCTCTGATCTTAGTTATTTCTTGCCTTCTGCTAGCTTTTGAATGTGTTTGCTCTTGCTTCTCTAGTTTTTTAATTGTGACGTTAGGTTGTCAAGTTTAGATCTGTCCCGCTCTCTCCTGAGGGCGTTTAGTGCTATATATTTCCCTCTAAACACTGCTTTAGCTGTGTCCCAGAGATCCTGGTACATTGTGTCTTTGTTCTCATTGGTTTCAAAGAACTTCTTTATTTCTGCCTTAATTTCATTATTTACCAAGTAGTCATTCAGGAGCAGGTTGTTCAGTTTCCATGTAGTTGTGCAGTTTTGAGTGAGTTTCTTAATTCTGAATTCTAATTTGATTGCACTGTGGTCTGAGAGACTGTTTTTTATGATTTCCATTGTTTTGCATTTGCTGAGGAGTGTTTTACCTCCAATTATGTGGTCAATTTTAGAATAAGTGTGATGTGGTGCTGAGAAGAATGTATATTCTGTTGATTTGGGGTGGAGAGTTCTGTAGATATCTGTTAGGTCTGCTTGGTCCAGAGCTGAGTTCAAGTCCTGAATATGCTTTTTAATTTTCTGTCTTGTTGATCTGTCTAATATTGACAGTGGGGTGTTAAAGTCTCCCACTATTATTGTGTGGGAGTCTAAGTCTCTTTGTAGGTCTCTAAGGACTTGCTTTATGAATCTGGATACTCCTGTATTGGGTGTGTATGTATTTAGGATAGTTAGCTCTTGTTGCATTGATCCCTTTACCATTATGTGATGCCCTTCTTTGTCTTCTTTGATCTTTGTTTGTTTAAAGTCTGTTTTATCAGAGACTAGGATTGCAACCCCTGCTTTTTTTCACTTTCCATTTGCTTGGCGAATATTCTTCCTTCCCTTTACTTTGAGCCTATGTGTGTCTGCATGTGAGATGGGTCTCCTGAATACAGCACACCGATGGGTCTTGACCCTTTATCCAATTTGCCAGCCTGTGTCTTTTAATTGGGGGATTTAACCCATTTACATTTAAGGTTAATATTGTTATGTGTGAATTTGATCCTGTCATTATGATGCTAGCTGGTTATTTTGCCCGTTAGTTGATGCAGCATCTTCATAGTGTCAATGGTCTTTCAAATTTGGGGTTTTTGCAGTGGCTGTTACCAGGTTTTCCTTCCCATATTTAGTGCTTCTTTCAGGAGCTCTTGTAAGGCAGGCCTGGTGGTGACAAAATCTCTCAGCATTTGCTTGTCTGTAAAGGATTTTATTTCTCCTTCACTTATGAAGCTTAGTTTGGCTGGATATGAAATTCTGGGCTGAAAATTCTTTTCTTTAAGAATGTTGAATATTGGCCCCCACTCTTTTCTGGCTTATAGGTTTTCTGCAGAGAGTTCTGCTGTTAGTTTGATGGGTTTCCCTTTGTAGGTAACCCACCCTTTCTCTCTGGCTGCCCTTAACATTTTTTCCTTCATTTCAACCTTTGTGTTCCTGACAATTATGTGTCTTGGAGTTGCTCTTCTCAAGGAGTATCTTTGTGGTGTTCTCTGTATTTCCTGAATTTGAATGTTGGCCTGTCTTGCTGGGTTGGGGAAGTTCGCCTGGATAATAGCTTGAAGAGTGTTTTCCAACTTGGTTCCATTCTCTCAGCTTTCAGGTACACCAATTAAATTTAGGTTTGGTTTTTTCACATAGTCCTATATTTCTTGGAGGCTTTGTTCGTTCCTTGTCATTCTTTTTCCTCTAATCTTGTCTTCATGCTTTATTTCATTAAGTTGATCTTCAATCTCTGATATCCTTTCTTCTGCTTGATCAATTTGGCTATTGACACTTGTGTATGCTTCACGAAGTTCTCGTGCTGTGTTTTTCTGCTCCATCAGGTCATTTATGTTCTTCTCTAAGCTGGTTATTCTAGTTAGCAATTCCTATAACCTTTTATCAAGATTCTTAGCTTCCTTGCATTGGGTTAGGACATGCTCCTTTAGCTTGGAGGAGTTTGTTATTACCCACCTTCTGAAGCCTACTTCTGTCAATTTGTCAAACTCATTCCCCATTCAGTTTTGTTCCCTTGCTGGCGAGGAGTTGTGATCCTTTGGAGGAGAAGAGGCATTCTGGTTTTTGGAATTTTCAGCCTTTTTGCACTGGTTTTTCCTCATCTTCATAGATTTATATACTTTTGTTCTTTGATGTTGGTGACCTTTGGATGGGGTTTTTGAGTGGACATCCTTTTTGTTGATGTTAATTCTATTTCATTCTGTTTGTTAGTTTTCCTTATACCAGTCAGTCCCCTCTGCTGCAGGTCTGTTCGAGTTTGCTGGAGGTCCACTCCAGACCCTGTTTGCCTGGGTATCACCAGCGGAGGCTGCAGAACAGCAAAGATTGCTGACCGTGTCTTCCTCTGGAAGCTTTATCCCAGAGGGGCACCAGCCAGATGCCAGCCAGAGCTCTCCTGTATGAGGTGTCTTTTGACCCCTGCTAGGAGGTGTCTCCGAGTCAGGAGGCACAGGTGTCAGGGACCCACTTGAGGAGGCAGTTGTGTCCCTTAGCAGAGCTCGAGTGCTGTGCTGGGAGATCTGCTGCTCTCTTCAGAGGCAGCAGGCAGGAACGTTTAAGTCTGCTGAAGCTGTGCCCACAGCTGCCCCTTCCCCCAGGTGTTCTGTCCCAGAGAAATGGGAGTTTTATCTATAAGCCCCTGAGTGGGGCTGCTGCCTTTCTTTCAAAAATGCCTTGCCCAGAGAGGAGGAATCTAGAGAGGCAGTCTAGCTACAGTGGCTTTGCCAAGCTGTGGTGGGCTCTGCCCAGTTTGAACTTCCCAGCGGCTTTGTTTACACTGTGCGGGGAAAAAACACCTACTCAAGCCTCAGTAATGGTGGACACCCCTCCCCCCACCAAGCTTGTGCATCCCAGGTCCACTTCAGACTGCTGTGCTGGCAGCAAGAATTTCAAACCAGTGGATCTTAGCTTGCTGGGCTCCTTGAAGTGGGATCTGCTGAGCTAGACCAATTGGCTCCCTGGCCACAGCCCCCTTTCCAGGGGAGTGAATGGTTCTGTCTCACTGGTGTTCCAGGTGCCACTGGGGTATGAAAAAAAACTCCTGCAGCTAGCTTGGTGTGTGCCCAGATGGCCACCCAGCTTTGTGCTTGAAACCCAGGGCCCTGGTGATGTACGCACCTGAGGGAATCTCCTGGTCTGCAGGTTGTGAAGACTGTGGGAAAAGATAGTATCTGGGCCTGAATGCACCGTTCCTCACGGTACAGTCCCTCACAGCTTCCCTTGGCTAGGAAGGGAGTTCCCCATCCCCTTGCACTTCCTGGGTGAGGCGACACCCCACCCTGCTTCAGCTTGCCCTGCATAGGCTGCATCCACTGTCTAACCAGTCCCAATGAGACGAGCCAGGTACCTCAGCTGGAAATGCAGAAATCACCCATCTTCTGTGTTGCTGTCACTGGGAGCTGCAGGCTGGAGCTGTTCCTACTCAGCCATCTTGCTAGCCATCTCTGATCTCGTTCTTTTTTATGGCTGCATAAAATTCCATGGTAGGTATGTACCACATTTACTTTATTCAATCTACCATTGATGGGCATTTAGGTTGATTCCATGACTTTGCTCTTGTTTATAATGCTGAAGTGAACATATAAGTACACATGTATTTACGATAAACTGATTTGTATTCCTTTGGGGATATACCAAATAATGGAATTGCTGGGTCAAATGGTATTTATATTTTAAGTTTTTTGACAAATCGCCACACCACTTTCCACAATGGTTGAACTAATTTACATTCCCAGCAATGGTGTATAAGCATTCCCTTTCTCCGCAACCTCACCAGCAGCTGTTATTTTTTGACTTTTTAGTAATAGCCATTCTGACTGGTGTGAAATGGTATCTCATTGTGGTTTTGATTTGCATTTCTCTAATGATCAGTGATGTTGAACTTTATTTCATATGCTCATTGGCTGCATGTATGTCTTTTGAAAAGTGTCTGTTCATGTCCTTTGCCCGCCATTTAATGGGGCTGTTTGTTTTTTTTCTGTAAATTTGTTTAAGTTCCTTATAGATGCTGGATATTAGATCTTTGTCAGATGCTTAGTTTGCAAAAATTTTCTCCCATTCTGTAGGTTGTCTGTTTATGCTGTTTATAGTTTCTTTTGCTGTGCTCTTTAGTTTAATTAGATCCCATTTGTCAATTTTTGCTTTTGTTGCAGTTGCTTTTGGCATCTTTGTTATGAAATCTTTGCTTATTCCTATGTCCAGAATGGTGTTGCCTAGGTTGTCTTCCAGGGTTTTTATAGTTTTGGGTTTAATATTGAAGTCTTTAACCCATTTTGAGTTAATTTTTGTAAGAAACTTCTTTTTCTTAAGGTTTTAGATCTAAACCTTAACTTGTAGGTGTGAATTGGGAAATACATATGTTATTTGGTCTTTCCCGTTATTCTTTTCATTCAGGAATAGGGCACTTGTTCTTGTATTTGCTATTTAAGTCATATCGGCATGATGATAAAACAGGTAATTAAATAGTGATAGATTCAGTTAATGAAGTGGAAAGAGCACTGGACATGAATGGGAGTCATGTGACATCATAAGTCTAATGCTATTTCTTTCACCAAATAGCTGCTTGAGTTTAGGCAGGTTGCTTAACCAATGTGGGCCTCAGTATTCTCATCTCTAAAATTATTATTTATTTTGACTATTTGGTTTATTTCTGTCTATGATACATTCTATGATCTATGTAATGCTAAATAATTTTCTAGACTAATATTCATTCAACACACCACCCATCCAAGAAAGCAGCTCTATGGTCTCACTAAAAATGAGCCAAACACCCAGTGATTTGGATGTTGTCAGTTTAGATTTTAGAGAGTTCATCACTCTGATATAGTAATAGAAGTCTCCTCTTAATCCTAATTTCTATCTCTAGATTCAACCTTCCTTCTTCCTGGTATTAACTAACAATTGAGCACCTGAAGGTTGTTTAGAAGAAAGCCATAAATTGGCCTAGATGACTGTGCTCCTTCATATCAGCTTCCCCAGGCAGTAGAAAGGTAAAGAAAAGTGAAATAATTATCAGCTGTCTACTGTCTACTTGTACGCAAAGACTTGATGCCATTTTTCCAGTTCTAGAAAACTTTATTCTTTTTTAAAAAAAAATTTATTTTTTATTTATTTTTCCATAAGCTATTGGGGTACAGGTGATATTTTGTTACATGAGTAAATTCTTTAGCAATGATTTGTGAGATTTTGTTGCACCCATCACCTGAGTAGTATTTTTCCCTCTCCTTGCTCCCACTCTTCTCCCCAAGTCCCCAAAGTCCATTGTATCATTCTTATGCCTTTGCGTCCTCATAGCTTAGCTCCCACGTACCAGTGAGAACATACGATGTTTGGTTTTCCATTCCTGAGTTACTTCACTTAGAATAATAGTCCCCAATCTCATCCAGGTCGCTGCAAATGCTGTTAATTCATTCCTTTTTATGGCTGCATAGTATTCCATTGTGTATCTATATACCACATTTTCTTTATCCACTCGTTGATTGATGGGCATTTGAATTGGTTCCATGATTTTGCAATTGTGAATTGTGCTGCTATAAACATGCATGTGCAAGTGTCTTTTTCAAATAATGACTTCTTTTCCTCTGGGTAGATACCCAGTAGTGGGATTGCTGGATCAAATGGTAGTTCTGCGCTTGGTTCTTTAAGGAATCTCTACACTGTTTTCCACAGTGACTGTATTAGTTTACATTCCCACCAGCAGTGTAGAAGTGTACCCTGTTCACTGCATCCATGCCAACATCTACTATTTTTTTGATTATGGCCATCCTTGCATGAGTAAGGTGGTGTCACAATGTGGTTTTGATTTGCATTTCCCTGATCATTAGCGATGTTGAGTATTTTTTCTTATGATTACTGGCCATTTGTGTACCTTCTTTTGAGAATTGTCTATTCATGTCCTTAGCCCACTTTTTGATGAGATTGTTTGTTTTTTTCTTACTGATTTGTTTGAGTGTGTTGTAGGAAAAACCCTTCTAGACATTGGCTTAGGCAAGAATTTCTTGACCAAGAACCCAAAAGCAAATGCAATAAAAACAAAGATAAATAGCTTGGACCTAGTTAAACTAAAGAGCTTTTGCACAGCAAAAGGAAAAGTCAGCAAACAGACAACCCACAGATTGGGACAAAATCTTCACAATATACACATCTGACAAAGGACTAATATCCGGAATCTAGACAACTTTATTCTTGTTATATCAGCGACAAAATAGTGTCAAATCCTAACTACCAAGGTGCTTTTGAGAATGTTGCTTCATTCTTTGGGTGTTGGTTTATCCATCTGTTGAAAAACGTTAGTGACCCACGTTTTCTCTTTATTACCCTGACAAGAAATATGTTCCATATGAAAGAGATCATATGGGTAAAAAAACTTGGGAAGGAAGTCTAAAACAGGAATGGTAAATGGGTTTTAATTCATGTGACACCTCTGATTGATTGGTATTAGCTCTTGGAGGCCTGTTGTTGAAGAACATGAGTTTGTGTCTAAGCTCAGTTGGAAAGAGTAACTGCTATGGGTATAGTGTTGGAAGTGGCTGAGCACAGCTCTTGTGCCAACAGTAAGGCAGATAAGTTATTGGTGGTGATCAGAGGGTCTTTGCCTGAGCCAAATAAGAAAGGATGGTTAGATTTGCCCCCTTATCTTGTCCTCCACAAATTGCAGTTCAGTTAAATGACCACACAGTATTTTCCCTCAGAGTGAGGTGCCATGTGAAAAGCTAGTTTTGACTTCCATATTGCCCTGGTCAATTGGGAAGACTCTACACAGGGCTGTTAAATCAGTGAATTTGGCATGAAAGGGAAAAATTAGTTAAAATGGCTGACTCTGATCACTAGATGGTCATTAAAATGAATTGCAGTTTGCAGGATGGGATGGGGATTGGGTCTAGTCTACAGGGAATCAGTTGGAATACGCTTTCCATTTTGGCTCAGGGTCAGAGAGGACAGCAAAAGCTTTGGATATTTGCTGGCCCTATATTGGCTCCATGAGAGAAAAATTTAAGGCAGCAGGCAGCAGTTTAAGAAGGAGAACTCCATGAGAGTTTGAGGGTAAATAACCACATTTCTTTAACCCCAGCGCATAAAGGTGGAATGCATGGTGCCTATAAGGCCTGAGGATTAGTCCATACAGGAAAGCACATTTTCAGAACAGTGAGAAGGATTTAAAAAACTTTTTATTGAAGTATAATATACATACATACAGAGGAGTATGCATATTATAAGTATACAGTTTGATAAAATTTCACAAACTGAAAACCAGTAATAAGGCTTATTGTTTTGAAGTCATAGCCAGAGTGCAAACTATTTGGGGTCATGTGAATGACTTAATACATCCTAACATGTATGCCACTGTGGAGCACTATGTCCGGCCTTTGAGTAGTGCAGTGCTGTATAACTGAAACTGAAATCAGTTTGGTTTTAGGAGAGCAGGGTTCAAATTCAGAATCCACTGCTATGTTGCTGTTTACCTTGGGCAAGTCTTTCCATTTCCCAGTCTCAATTTCCCTACCTGTAAAATGTGGTCAATGATAATTCCTACATTATTTCTATCAGAGGGTAAAATGTAGTTACAGCTGAGAACATCTTTGAAAATGTTAAAGCATCATTTCTCCAGTGCCTAGCACAGTACCTGCCATGTAGTAATATTTTTTGAGTGAGTAGCACATAATAAGTCTCAAAAATGTTTGCCAAACATGATGAGAAGTAATTTGGCACAATGCACATCTAAGGCTTCTTTTAAGACAATTTTCCAAATGAACCTTAAGGTCAATTCAATCACCCTGAGCCTTTCAGCTTTAGATTTCTCTTTGCTCGAAGGGAAGGAAATTCATCCAATGGGAATAAGAATAGAAATAAAACAAGGCGGGTTCATAGAATCCCATGGTGTCATGGTAGAATTATAGTCTGAGATGGTTGGAAATGTTTCTCTTTTTTCCTACAGTATTCCCCCATGGCCCCTGACACTTACCTGTAATACCTTGTAGTTTAGTATTTAGGTAGTTGCTAGGCCTAGCTGTCTCCATGGAGACAAGGGTAGATTTGCAAGTGTGCTAGTTATTGCAAGTAACTAACGCAGCAGTTTATCCAGTATTTTCTTCTCTTTCTTTTTTTTCTTTTTCTTTTTCTTTTTTTTTTTTTTTTTTACAGTTCAGAAGTCTTGAAAAAGCCTACTGTACTGTGACTTGTATAGAATTCACTGTGTAGGATACCTTCTTTCTTGAATTTAGTTTACTTTGTCATGGGAAGAGTGAAGTTTGCTTATAGAAGTTATGGCTTCTTGCCTGGAAATAGTCTCTTGGTAAAATGAAAAAATTTACATGTGGAAGATTTCCAAGCTTCACTGCCTAGCCCCTCAAAGCTACTTCAATAATATGTTTAGTGGAACAATGACAGATGAGAAATGTGCTTGACTAAGAATGGCCCCAGTATGGGAGACACTTCAGAGCCTGAAGTGTTTCCCTCATTAGTGTAAAGCAGTGGACTGAAGGCATAGTCCCTCATGGGTTCTCCATCTAGCTGAGCTTATTCTGGCCAGGAGAAAGTGGCCTACTTATTATGGTGGTTGATAGAATTGAAGCAAGAGAGAGAGAATGTAGGACAATTTCTCTCCATAACAAATCTCTCTCAAAGTGGAAAATGGACAGCAGGTGATGCCATCAAAACAGGCTTTGGCTTTCAAAGCTATCCCTTCATCTCCTGGACCAATATCTTCTCTTTTCCTTTCTGTCATGCTTCCCTTGATATTTTCACTAGGAGCAGAACAAGGTATGGCTCTGTAGGATCCCAATTACCCTTGCCTGTAGCTTGAATATAGGCAGGCTGAGTTTGGGACAGTGAAGTTCAAGGGTCTGAGAGCTTTGATAAAAATCTTTAATAGAGTCAAAGCTCTAATATTAATCCTAGTAATTTCAAATTTGCCATAATTCAGAGGGCTGACCTAAAAGTTACCTTTGTTCAGCAAAGGTCTTCAAAAAGAACTATTATGGAAACAGTTAAACATACACAGAAAGAGAATAGTATAATGAACCTCCATACACCCATCATCCAACTTCAACATTTATTACTATTTTGCCAATATTAGCAAAGCTTTTCTTCATTGGAATTTTAATCTTGGTCTCACATAGGACTGTTTGGTGCCTTTACATCTTTAAACTATTTTAGTTTAGAAGCTCCCCTTCAATTTGTAATTGACTTACCAATTACAAATAATTCCAATTATTCATTAAATAGGTCTCTTAGGGACATTCTGGGACAATACTTCCTTAAAGCATTTTGAGTCCAGTTTGAGTTGTTTTTACTTGAGAGTAATAAAGCTTGTTTCTTTTAAATTGTCCTATGATTTGGATTTTTCGTTGGTTGACACTGACCTCATCTTTACCATCTTCTGTAGGTAATATCAATTACCAAAGAGAGCTGATAAATTCAGGAAGAAAAGGTGTGTAGGCCTGAGTTTTGCATAATAGCTGAATTCTTCCCACTGAGGCACAATCACTTAAGGCCAGTATTTCAGGCTGCATCACAGGAAACCATTGTCCTGTTTTGTTCATGCAGAATCAGAAAAGATTCTGAATGGGGCCTAAATGAGATGGTGATTGTCCATTAGCCCTCCAGGAAAGAACTGAGTCATACTGTCCAAAGGGCATTAAATCAGTCTGGATTGTTGGAGTAGATGATTCACCTCTAAGCTGCTTGGATTAACAACATTATTATTTCTCTACCATCAACCAGGCTTATTATGCTTTATGTAAAACAGGACTAATGTGCTTGAAAGCACTTGAGGGTCCTTATAGCTTTCCAGGCTCCTAAAAATTGATACACAACCTTGTGTAAGTGCTTGGTCTATCTGAGCCTATCTCTGGTGCTTCAAAGCCATTAACTTCTAGCCTGTAGAAGAGAAAATATGACCTCCCATCTTTTGCTTCATTAGCATACTGGTATAAATAAGCTCAAACAACAAAGCATTTTATCAACTCATTTGACTTTTCTAGAATTCCACTCACCTTTGCTATCGTAAGGCTGCTGTGTCACATTTCTAATAGCCTTTAAGCCTGAATAAGGACGAGAGGACTGTGATGTCCTTCATCTGTATTGAAAAAAGAACTTCGGGTTAATCATAACACTTGACTGTGAAGCCCATCTACCAATCTCAGGGGAAAGTCTGCTTCCTGCAGGCCCTGGGTATCATGGGATATATAATTGGAGTCTCTGGGGGTCTGAGTTGATGTGGCTGCAAATCAATTAAGCTTAGCACTTTCAAAATCATTTCTCTCATCTAGGTGAAAAAGAATCCCAAGTGCAATATGAGTTTCAAGGCAAAAGCATCTGTGTAAATTGTATCCTAAAGGGTCCTATAAGACCTTGGTTTTGTGGAGACAAATTATTCTGTCATTGCTCCCTACCCTCTCATCTTTTCCCTTGTTTGATACTGGCTGAATTTGGAAGTGGAACAGGGGTATCAAAAAGAGACCTGTAATTCTTTTCTGGTTGAATGTGTAACTCTTGAGATAAGAGCAATACTCAACTGGAATTCTTGCAAAGTTTTTTTGGAAGAGTTTGACTAGTGATAACTGTTGGTTTTAAAGCCATGTTTGACAGAATTTATCTGTTTAGATTTCTCTGGGTCTCCGTCATTTCAATGTGGCAATTGTTCCGTGTCTCAGAAATATAATTCTAGGTATCCAGGCCTAGGCATTTTTTATTTCAGAGACTGAAAATGGAGAGAGAAGAAATATTGAAGATGCTATGGTCCTGCACTTTCATTTTTCAGGTCTGAAATTCCCCTCTGGTTTCTTCTCTCCGTTTTCTGATAACCTCCAAAGAGTGGCTGGGGCTCACAGAAGGAGGATCAGGCTGTTCCTCATCACTGCACTATTTTGCTTGCCTGCTGCAAGAGCTGTCTGTTGCCCACAGGGTGCCTTCTACTTCTCTCCCACTGCTGTCCCTAATGAGTCAACATTTCTCTATTCATTCCATTGTGAGATACTGCCTCTCTGAGGTAAGAGAAGCACTTGGGAGTTGTACTTGTTAATTCCTCTGGAAGAACTCAGTGCATCAGTATGCATTTGCTGCTGTATGGGCAATACAGCCAGGACGATAGTCCTAAAAGAAGGACTGCTTCTCTGAACTTTAGGGCCTCTCTCATTCCTTATATGCCATGCTATAGTGCAAGTAAATAGGGTTGCTCCCAAAGAGAGCAATCCAATGTCGTTGTTTTGTTTTTCCTCCAAGCTGGAGGTATTGGTGGTTGTTAATTTGGTAGGGAGTGGGAGGGGGGTGGGAGGGAGGAGTTGAAGGAGGAATGTAAGGAAATCTGAAAGTTCCTTTAGTGAAATCTAACCCATTTATTTTTCAGAGTTAGGAATGGAGGGAGGATTTTCATGTGGGGTGGGAGAGCCAGCTTAGATCTTAAAGCTCTCAATTTTCTTTCTCTTAGTAGATCTTATATGTTCTTAATGGGCCTGCTACTCCTATAGTGGCCTGATTACTATGTTTTCAAAAGTAGTTGAGAAGCCTGTATTACAGTTCCAATCCTCTCACTAACTACTGGGTCTTGAGCAGTTCCCTTTTCCTCAGTTTGCTCATCTGTAAAATTATGGAGTTAGCGTAAATTATAGATTTCTAAGACTCCTTCAAGCTCTCTGGCTCTCCGGCTTTCTGGCTCTAAATTCATGAGTCTTCTTCATGTCCAGTGGAAGGCATCATTGAGTCCCCCAGAGACTAGTCCAACAGGTATGTGGTATCTGTATTCACACAAACAATGAGTCTTTTTGAGCTTTTTTTGCCTATGAGCTATAAGATACAATAAGCAGAACTAATTATTTTAGACCCCTAACCATAAACTTGGTTTGCTAAATGAAGAACAAATAACCCAGTTTTGATGGAAAAGGAAAAAGCATTTGGAGCTTAATGGTGTGGATTAGATTCCTTAGGGAATGGCATCCCAAGGGGGATGTCTAAGTCCAACACATTGAGATGAACAGGAACTCAGAAGTCACTGTGGTTTCCTTCTGAGACTGAATAGCATCATCTCTAGGAAGTCTTGGGAAGAAGGAGCCCTCATCCTGGGCATGTTGGGGCATTGCCGTGTGATGCCGCTTGTTCTGTTGTAGTTGTAGCATAAATGGAGTTCAGTTAGGAGAGATAGGCTGGGCAACATTCAGAGACAGCAGCTCCTTCCTTTGTGCTCCTATAGCACATATTCTGTTTAGCACATTTCCCACTGCCTTAGGGTTATTGGGTAGATGTGTCTCTCTTGTGTCCCCCATAAGCCCCTAGAGAGTTTCTAGAATAGGAGCAAGTGTCTCAGGCATCTCTGTTAACTCCAGCATCTAGCACAGGGCCTGGCAAACGGGAGGTGTTCAATGAATCTCTTTCAAAAAACCTATTCTGAGTTTCCAAACTGGGTTGGGGTCTTTCTTCTCTACTCCCATAGCACCAACACTTCCTTTCATCTATCACAGTACAGAGTACTGATTACTGTATTCTACCTGCCAAGTGGCTTGTATCTCTGCTGTAACACCCTTGAGGGTAGGGGCTGTATGGTCGTTTTCTAATGCAGTGAATGCACAAAGGAGATACAAAATAAATATTTTTTGATGGATGTATGGAATACTTTATTGTTGCAAAGATTCAAATATTATGTCACAATCTCCTACCTCCGGCTTTGTGGGGCTCCTTAGAAATGTACTTCCCCCAGCATTTGGATAAATACTTTGTCTTTGTCATACTTTCCATCTCTATTATTTGAGAACCTAGTATATGCCTACACTACACAGAGATAAATTGGACAGATCCTTCCTTGTCAGGAAAGCTTTTGTTGATGAGGAACCTTCAGAATTAAAACAATGCCACTATGAAATGAGAGCAAAATCTTAGAGCATATATGGGAACTTCAATTCTAAATCAGATAGTTTAATGCTACACACTTGAGATTTTCCTCTTCTCCATTCTTTTTTCCATGTACCCCATTCCTGGCTGTTTTTATATATCTGGCTATCTTCTGTGTGTCTTCAGCCTTCATATTAAAGGCTGCAGTGTTGCAGCCTTTAGGTACTTTTTTTTTAGAAAAAATTATATTTCCATAGGTTATTGGGGAGCAGGTGGTGTTTCATTACATAAGTAAGTTCTTTAGGGGAGATTTGTGAGATTTTGGTGCACCCATCACCTGAGCAGTATACACTGCACCCTATTTGCAGTCTTTTATTCCTCACTCCCTTCCCATCATTTCTGCCTGAGTCCCCAAAGTCCATTGTGTCATTCTTTTTTTTTTTTTTTTTTTTTTTTTTTTTGAGACGGAGTCTTGCTCTCTTGCCCAGGCTGGAGTGCAGTGGCACGATCTCGGCTCACTGCAAGCTCTGCCTCCCGGGTTCATGCCATTCTCCTGCCTCAGCCTCCCAAGTAGCTGGAACTACACGTGCCCACCACCATGCCTAGCTAATTTTTTGTATTTTTAGTAGAGACGGGGTTTCATCGTGTTAGCCAGGATTGTCTCGAACTCCTGACCTCGTGATCCACCTGCCTCGGCCTCCCAAAGTGCTGGGATTACAGGCGTGAGCCACCGCGCCCAGCCCATTGTGTCATTCTTATGCCTTTGCATCCTCATAGCTTAGCTCCCACTTATGAGTGAGAACACACAATGTTTGGTTTTCCATTCCAGAGTTACTGCATTTAGAATAATAGACTCCAATCTTATCCAGGTTGCTGCGAATGCCATTAACTCATTCCTTTTTATGGATGAGTAGTATTCTGTCGTATATACCACAGTTTCTTCTTTTTTTTTTATGGTGTTAGACAGCAACTTTTGTGAAGTAGCAGTGTACAGCAGCAGCAGAGGTACTGCTCCTTGCAGAGCAGGGCTAACCCGTAGGTAGTGTGCCCAGATTAGTAACTCAGGGGCAGTTCTGCATTCATATTTATACCCACTTTTATTTTATTTATTATTTATTTATTTTAAGATGGAGTTTCACCATGTTGGCCAGGCTGTTCTCAAACTCCTGACCTCAAGTGATCTGCCCACCTCGGCCTCCCAAAGTGCTGGGATTACAGACATGAGCCATTGCACCTGCTCCCCGACTTTTAATTATGTACAAGTTAAGGGGCATGTAATTTCTAATTTTCTAACTTCTAAATTTCTGATTTTCTAGAAATTTAGAAATTTCTAGAAAAGGGGTGGTAACTTCTGGGTGTTGCCACAGCAGTGGTAAAGTGTCATGGCACTGGTGGGCATGTCTGTGTTTTTTTTATTATTATACTTTAAGTTCTGGGATACATGTGCAGAAAGACCACAGTTTTTTTATCCATTCGTTGATTGATGGGCATTTGGGTTGGTTCCACGTTTTTGCAATTGTGAATTGTGCAGCTATAAACATGCGTGTGCAAGTGTCTTCTTTGCATAATGACTTCTTTTCCTTTGGGTAGATACCCAGTAGTGGGATTGCTGGATCAAATGGTAGTTCTAATTTTAGTTCTCTAAGGAATCTCCACACTGTTTTCCATAGTGGTTGTACTAGTTTACATTCCCACCAGCAGTGTAGAAGTGTTCCCTGTTCACCACATCCACACCAACATCTACTATTTTTTGATTTTTTCATTTTTTTTGATTATGGGCATTCTTGCAGGAGTAAGGTGGTATCACATTGTGGTTTTGGTTTGCATTTCCCTGATGATTAGTGATGTTGAGCATTTTTTCATATGATTATTGGTCATTTGCATATCTTCTTTTGAGAATTGTCTATTCATGTCCTTAGCCTACTTTTTGATGGGGTTGTTTGGTTTTTTTCCTGCTGATTTATTTGAGTTCCTTGTAGATTCTGGATATTAGTCCTTTGTCAGATGTATAGATTTTGTAGATTTTCTCCCACTCAGTGGGTTGTCTGTTTACTCTGCTGACTGTTCCTTTTGCTGTGCAAAAGCTCTTTAGTTTAATTAAGTCCTAGTAATTTATCTTTGTTTTTATTGCATTTGTTTTTGGGTTCTTGGTCATGAAATCCTAACCTAAGCCAAAGTCTAGAAGGGTTTTTCCAATGTTATCCTCCAGAATTTTTATAGTTTCAGGTCTCAGATTTAAGTCCTTGATCCATCTTGAGTTGATTTTTTTTTTCTTTTTTGAGACGGACTCTCAGTTTGTCACCCAGACTGGAGTGCAGTGGCACGTTCTTGGCTCAATGCAACCTCCTTTCAGGCTCAAGCAATTCTCCTACCTCAGCCTCCCAAGTAGCTGGGATTACAGGCGCCTGCCTGTTTTTGTATTTTTAGTAGGGACAGGGTTTTGCCATGTTGGCCAGTCTGGTCTTGAACTCCTGACCACAGGTGATCCACCCCCACTTGGCCTCCCAAAGTGCTGGGATTACAGGCGTGAGCCACCAGAGTTGATTTTTGTATAAGGTGAGAGATGAGGATCCAGTTTCATTCTCCTACATGTGGCTAACCAATTATCCTAGCACCATTTGTTGAAAAGTGTGTCCTTTCCCCTCTTTATGTTTTTGTTTGCTTTGCTGAAGATCAGTTGGCTGTAAGTATTTGGGTTTATTTCTGGGTTCTCTATTCTGTTCCATTGGTCTATGTGCCTTTTTTTTTATACCAGTACCATGCTGTTTTGGTGACTATGGCCTTATAGTATAGTTTGAAATCAGGTAATGTGATGCCTCCAGATTTGTTCTTTTTGCTCAGTCTTGCTTTGGCTATGCAGGCTCTTTTTCAGTTCCATATGAATTTTAGAATTGTTTTTTCTAATTCTTTGAAGAATGATAGTAGTATTTTGATGAGAATTGCATTGAATTTGCAGATTGCTTTTGACACTATGGTTATTTTTCACAATGTTGATTCTACCTATCCATGAGCATGGGATATGTTTCCATTTGTTTGTGTTGTCTATGATTTCTTTCAGCAGTATTTTGTAGTTTTCCTTGTAGAGGTCTTTCACCTCCTTTATTAGGTATATTCCTAAGTATTTTATTTATTTTTTGCAGCTCTTGTAGAAGGGGTCGAGTTCTTGATTTGATTCTCAGCTTGATCACTGTTGGTGTATAGAAGAGCTACTGATTTGTGTACATTAATTTTGTATCTGGAAAGTTTGCTGAATTCTTTTATCAGTTCTAGGAGCTTTCTGCAGGAGCCTTTAGGGTTTTCTTGGGAAATGATCATATCATCAGCAAACAGTGACAGTTTGACTTGCTCTTTACCAATTTGGATGCCCTTTATTTCTTTCTCTTGTCTGATTGCTACGGCTAGGACTTCCAGTACTATGTTGAAGAGGAGTGGCGAGAGTGGGAATCCTTGTCTTTTTCCAGTTGTCAGAGGAAATCCTTTCCATTTTTCCCCATTCAGTATTACGTTGGCTGTGAGTTTGTCATAGATGGCTTTTATTATTTTGAGGTATGTCCCTTGTATGCCGATTTTGTTGAGAGTTTTAATCATAATGGGATGGGGATTTTGTTGAATGCTTTTTCTGCGTCTGTTGAGATCATCATGTGATTTTTTTTTAAATTCTGTTTATGTGGTATATCACATTTATTGATTTGTGTATGTTAAACCGTCCTTGCATCCCTGGTATGAAACCCACTTGATCATGTTGTATTGTCTTTTTGATATGTTGTTGGATTCAGTTAGCTAGTATTTTGTGAAGGATTTTAGCATCTATGTTCACCAGGGTTATTGGTCTGTAGTTTTCTTTTTTGGTTATGTCCTTCTCTGGTTTTAATATTAGCATGATACTGGCTTCACATAATGATTTAGGCAGGGTTCACTCTTTCTCTATCTTTTGGAATAGTGTCAGTAGGATTGGTACCAATTCTTATTTGAATGTCTAGTAGAATTCTGTTGTGAATCCATCTGGCCCTGGACTTTTTTTGTTGATAATTTTTAATTTACCATTTCAATCTTGCTGCTTGTTATTGGCCTGTTCATGGTATCTAATTCTTCCTGATCTAATCTAGGAGGGCTGTATATTTCCAGCAATGTATCCATCTCTTCTAGGTTTTCTAGTTTATGTACGTAAAGGTGTTCATAGTTGCCTTGAATGATCTTTTGTATTTCTGTGGTGTCAGTTGTATATCTCCTATTTCGTTTCTTATTGAGCTTATTTGGATTTTCTCTCTTCTTTTCTTGGTTAATCTTGCTCATGGTCTGTCAATTTTATTTATCTTTTCTAAGAACCAGATTTTTGTTTCATTTATCTTTTGTATTTTTTGTTTTAATTTCATTTAGTTCTGCTTGATCTTTGTTGTTTCCTTTATTCTGCTGGGTTTGGGTTTGGTTTGTTCTTGTTTCTCTAGTTCCTTGAGGTGTGACCTTAGATTGTCTGTTTGTGCTCTTTTAGACTTTTTGATGTAGGCGTTTCAGGTTATGAACTTTCCTTTTAGCACTACTTTTGCTGTATCCCAGAGGTTTAGATAGGTTGTGTCACTATTATTGTTCAATTCAAAAAAATTCTTAATTTTCATTTTGATTTCATTTTTTACCCAATTATTCAGCATCAGGTTATTTAATTTCCAAGCATTTGCATGGTTTTGAAGGTTCTTTTTGGAGTTGATTTCTAGTTATATTCCACTGTGGTCTGACAGAGTGCTTGATCTAATTTCAATTTTCTTAAATTTATCAAGGTTTGTTTTGTGGCCTATCATATGTTCTTTCTTAGAGAAATCTCCATGTGCTGTTGAATAGAATGTATATTCTGCAGTTGTTGGATGGAATGTTCTGTATATATCTGTTAAGTCCATTTGTTCCAGGGTATAGTTTAAATCCATTGTTTCTTTGTTGACTTTCTCTCTTGATGACCTGTCTAGTGCTGTCAGTGGAGTATTGAAATCCCCCACTATTATTGTGTTGCTGTCTGTCTCATTTTTTAGGTCTATTAGTAATTGTTTTATACATTTGGGAGCTCTAGTGTTAGGTGCATATATATTTAGAATTATGATATTTTCCTACTGGACTAGTCCTTTTATCATTATATAATGTCCCTCTTTGTTTTTTGTTTTAACTGCTGTTGCTTTAAAGTTTGTTTTGTCTGATATAAGAACAGCTACTTCTGCTTGCTTTTGGTATCTATTTGCCTGAAATGTCTTTTTCCACCCCTGTACCTTAAGTTTGTGTGAGTCCTTATGTGTTAGGTGTGTCTCTTGAAGGAAGCACATAGTTGGTTGGTGAATTCTTATCCATTCTGCAATTCTGTATCCTTTTTCTTTTGAGATGGAGTCTCGCTCTGTCGCCCAGGCTGAAGTGCAATGGCACGATCTTGGCTCACTGCAACCTCTTCCTCCCGGGTTCAAGCAATTCTCCTGCCTCCACCTCCCAAGTAGATGGGACTACAGGTGCACACCACCATGCCCGGCTAATTTTTGTATTTTTAGTAGAGACGGGATTTCACCACATTGGCAAGGATGGTCTTGATCTCCTGACCTAGTGATCCGCCTGCCTCGGCCTCCCAAAGTGCTGAGATTACAGGAGTGAGCCACCGTGCCCAGCCAATTCTGTATCTTTTAAGTGGAGCATTTAGGCCCTTTACCTTTAATGTTAGTATTGAGATGTGAGGTACCATTCCATTCATCGTGCAATTTGTTGCCTGTACACCTTGGTTTTTTGTTTTAGGTTTTTGTTCTTTGAATTGCATTTTTGTTTTATAGGTCCTGTGAGGTTTATGCTTTAAAGAGGTTCTGTTTTGATGTGTTTCCAGGATTTCTTTCAAGTTTTAGAGCTCCTTTTAGCAGTTCTTGTAGTGGTAGCTTGGTAGTGGCAAATTCTCTTGGCATTTGCATGCCTGAAAAAGACTTTCCTTCATATATGAAGCTTAGTTCCACTGGATACAAAATTCTTGGCTGATGATTGTTTCGTTTGAGGAGGCTGAAGATATCCCTTCTAGCTTGTAGGGTTTCTGCTGAGAAATCTGCTGTTAATCTGATAGGTTTTCCTTTATAGGTTACCCGGTGCTTTTGTCATCTCACAGCTCTTAAGATTCTTTCCTTCATCATAACTTTAGGTGACCTGATGACAATGTGCATAGGAGATGATCTTTCTGCAGTGAATTTCCCAGGTGTTCTTTGTGCTTCTTGTATTTGGATGTCTAGGTATCTAGCAAGGCTGGGGACATTTTCCTCAATTATTCCCCCAAATATGTTTTCCAAACTTTTAGATTTCTCTTCTTCCTCAGGAACACTGATTATTCTTAGGTTTGATCATTTAACATAATCACAGATTTCTCGGAGGCTTTGTTCCTATTTTCTTATTCTTTTTTCTTTGTCTTTGTTGGATTCAGTTAATTTGAAGACCTTGTCTTTGAGCTCTGGATTTCTTTCTTCTACTTGTTCAATTCTATTGCTGAGACTTTCCAGAGCATTTTGCCTTTCTATAAGTGTGCCCATTGTTTCCTGAAATTTTGATTGTTTTTTATTTATGCTATCTATTTCCTTGAATATTTCTCCCTTCATTTCTTGTATCATCTTTTGGATTTCCTTGCATTGGGCTTTGCCTTTCTCTGGTGCCTCCCTGATTAGCTTAATAACTAACCCCTGAATTCTTTTTCAGGTGAATCAGGGATTTCTTCTTGGTTTGGGTCCATTACTGGTGAGCTAGTATGATTTTTTGGGAGTGTTAAAGAGCCTTGTTTTGTCATATTACCAGAGTTGGTTTTCTGGTTCCTTCTCATTTGGGCAGGCTCTGTCAGAGGGAAGGTTTAGGGCTAAAGGCTGTTGTTCAGATTCTTTTGTCCCATGGGGTGTTCCCTTAATGTAGTAATCTCCCCCTTTTCCTATGGTTGTGGCTTTCTGAGAGCTGAGCTGTAGTGATTATTCTCTCTTTTCTGAGTCTAGCCACCCAGCAAGTCTACCAGGCTCTGGGATGGTACTAAGGGTTGTCTGCACAGAGTCCTGTGATATGAACCATCTGTGGGTCTCTCAGCCATGGATACCAGCACCTGTTTTGGTGGAGGTGGCAGGGGTGTGAAATGGACTCTGTGAGGATTCTTAGCTTTGGTAGTTTAATGCACTGTTTTTGTGCTGGTTGACCTCCTGCTAGGAGGTTGTGCTTTCCAGAGAGCATCAGCTGTGGTAGCATGGGGAGGAACAGGTGGTGGGCGGGGCCCTATAACTCCCAAGAGTATATGTCCTTTGTCTTCAGTTACCAGGGTGGGTAGGGAAGGACCGCTGTGTTGGGGCAGTGCTAGGCGCTGTCTGAGCTCAGACTCTCCTTGGGCGGATCTTGCTGTGGCTGCTGTGGGGGATGGGGATGAGGTTCTCAGGTCAATGGAGTTATGTTTCTAGGAGGATTATGACTGTCTCTACTATGTCATGCAGGTTGTCAGGGAAGTGGGGGAAAGCCAGCAGTCACAGGCCTCAACCAGCTCCCACACAATCCGAAGGGCTGGTCTCACTTCCACCGTGCCCACCCCCCGCCCAACAGCACCAAGTCTGTTTCCAGGTAGTGGGCAAGCAGGGCTGAGAACTTGCCCCAGGTTACCCTCCTCCCAACTGTGAAAGCAAATGTGTCTTTTCTTCTTCCTTGCTTGTGGAGTCTGCACACTGGATTCATGCCCTCCCCTGAGTTCTGGCCAGGAGGCTTCTCAAACAGTTCAAATTGTTACAGAGTTTAGCTGGGGATTTTCTTCTCCCTGTGGTCTTTTCCCGGTGCCTCTGGCCACCCTCTTGAAGGGCCCCTGTGAGGCCAGACAAAAATGGCTTGCTAGGGAACCCGGTGAGCTCCCAGGGCTCTTCCTGTTGCTTCCTCTACCTCTGGATTTCGCTCAGCTCTCTGAATTGACTCAGCTAAAGGTAAGATCAAAATCTTTTCTAGGTCAAAATCTAGGCCTTCAGTTTCCCCAGTAGGGATGTGTGTTCGGGGGCGGATGATCTCCCTTTCCCACCTCTTCAGTTTGGGCACTCACAGTATTTGGGTTGTCTCCCAGGTCTTGCAGGAGCAATCTGCTTCTTTCAGGGGGTCTGTAGGTCCTCTCAGGTTTCCTGATTTGTTCCTGCAGTCGTTCTGAAGCAAAAACTCATGATGCGAGCCTCTACATGCTGCTCTGTCCATCCGAATTGGAGCTGCAATCTAGTCCTGCATCCCATCCGCCATGATCCCCTGAGAGTCTCTAGGTACTTTAGCAGCCTGAAGCCTTTCTGCTGAGAAATGCAGTGTAGGCTTTCATTGAGTACTGTTCACTTATGACACTATCAAACTAAATTCATGCCTACCAGTTGTACTGGAGACTTGCTAATAATGTCTTCCTCTTTCATTTTTTTTTTAACTTGACTAGGCACCAGGGCTGATTAGATCAGTTTGTTTTTTTTCCTACAATAATGATGTTTATTTCAGCCCTGAAATCTTTTGGTAATTTAAAAATGGTTGTTGTATAGCATTTGCACTGGTAGATATAACAATTGTGCTTTGTTGTTTTCCATGTTGTGAAACTAGCTAAGAATTACCCTAACAGTGATGTTGCCAATTCTGTCTCTTGTCCGAAAAAAATATGAACTACCCTTACTTGGAGATAGTAAATGCTGGATTATTTGTGTTTCTGAAAAGATTTGCCAGTCTAGGGATATTACTGTATTAGTTAGAGTAAATGCTAGGCATATCACTTCTTCAAATAATGATTCAGGGACTGAAACTCCTTTCATCTTATGGCAATGCCATCTTTAACATGGCATTCTAGGCTCTGTTTTTATTCCAGTCAACTAGAAGGAAAAAAAGAACATGGAGAATATTATATAGGAGAGCAGGATTGGAGATGATACATATCACTTTGGTTCATAATCCATTGGGCAAAAATTAATCACATGAATATAACTAACTATAGGGGATACTGGCAAATATGGTCCAGATACATGGCCATTCTAAGGAAAAGGAAACAGGTTTTCATGAACAGATAGTATCTATAATAATTAACTTTGGAGCAACCACTAGAAAGCTAAACCATTCCTTCTACCTGTTTCCTTTTCACTGGTGCAACAGAGCCACTGGGGAACAGACACGCTGCTTCCCACTCCTGTTGTCTTTTCTGATGTGTCCTTAACTTCTAGGTGGAAGGAGCTAGACACTAACCTTACTGATTGTGAAAGATGATTGATCCAGAGATCAAGAATCATTTAGTGAATGCCATGTTAGGTAACGTATTAGTCCATTTACGTTGCTATAAAGGAATACCTGAGACTGGGTAATTTATAAAGAAAGAGGTTTATTTTGGTTCCCAGTTCTGTAGGCTGTACAGGAAGCATGGTGATGGCATTCATTTCTGGTGAGGGCCTCAGGAAGCTTACAGTCATGGCACAAGGCAAAGAAGGAGCAGGTATATCACATGGCAAGTGAGGGAGCAAGACAGAAAGGGGGTGGGTCACAGATTTTTTTAAACAACCAGACCTCATGCTAACTACCTGAGAAAGAACTCACTCATCACCAAGAAGATGGTGCTAAGCCATTCATGAGAAACCTGTTCCCATGACCTAAACACCTCCCACCAGGCCCACCAACAACATTGGAGGTCACATATCAACATGAGATTTGGAGGGAACAAAACATTCAAACCATATCAGCTAATGATAAACTGCTAAAGAAAGTTGTATCACCTACATTTTTTCACTTTATCTTTTCCTCACAGGTTTGCTTAGAGGTAAGGAAACTGGGATCTCCCTCCGGTTCTTGCTGAAAGGAGACACTTAGCTGTGTTCTGAAGTATCAGCAGGCCAGAGCTGGTACCCACATGTGACATTATCAAAAGTAGAGATGAGCAAATATTTACCAAGCAATCAACATGTGCCAAATACTTGCTAGGAGCTGAGGACACAGAGGTTAATAAGATGGTTAAAAACAGTAATGAAATATCTCTTTTCTCTGATAATATTGGCAAAATTTAAAAGGCTGACAATAGCAAGTGTTGGTAAGGAGATAGGGAAATGAAACTCTTGAACAATGCTGATGGGAGTAAAAGTCAGTACAGCCACATTGTAGAGCAATTTGTCAGTGTCTCTTAAAAAAATTCACATACCCTATAATCCAGCAGTTTTACTTCTAAGTCTTTTTACTAGAGTAACACACATGCATACACATAGGCATGTAGTAAAGCACTTCATCATAAATTTCATGATAAATTTTTCATAATAGCAAGATCTTGGAAACAATCTAAATGTCCATCAATAGGGACAAAAATGGTTAAAATGGGGGTACATCCATATAATGGAAAGCAATTAAAGTGAATTACCTAGATATATCTATCATCATGGATATATTTCATAAACACTTTTGAGTGAAAGAAGCAAGTGGCAGAATGATGTACACAGCCACATGATATTTGGGAAAATGTGCAAACCAATACTGTATATTTTATATGGATATAGGTTATGTCTGTAGATGTATACAAAAAGATTGGAAGGCTACACATCAAACTCATATTACTGTTTGGTTACCTTTGGAAAAGCAGTGAAGGGATAGAGCATGGGGGTGGAGGTCAAGGGGGCTTTTGGCTTTACCTATAATATTCTATTCTGAAATAATAAACGGTATTTTTATAAGTTATTTTTAAGTGTGGAAAAACTGGAAGTAAAAGTGCCAAAAGGTTAATAGTGGTTACTTGTGAAAGTTAAAAAACTGGGTGATTGTTTTATTATTCTCTGTACTCTTCTGAATGTTTTAAAATTACTGGCAACAAAAAGGGCATATAGGGAAAAAACCGAAAATACCCATCGTCCATGACTTTAAAGAGCTTGCTCTCTAATAGGGGAAAGATAGGCATAAAGAGGTAAAGAGTGCTGAGAGAACAAAGAAAAGAGTCTCCTAACTTAGGCTCAGGGGTCTAATAAATGCTTCCTAGAGAATATGCCAATGATTTAGGCCTTGAAGATCAAGTATGAGCTTTCTAAGTCAAGGAGCTGCATCCAGGCAAAAGAAGGGGCATAAGCAACAGTGTGGAGATAAAGAGTAGCATATTGTGACTGGGCGCGGTCGCTCACATCTGTAATCCCAGCACTTTGGGAGGTCGAGGCGGGTGGATAACAAGGTCAGGAAATGGAGACCATCTTGGCTAACACTGTGAAAACCCATCTCTACTAAAAATACACACAAAAAATTAGCCGGGCATGGTGGCGGGTGCCTATATTCCCAGCTACTCAGGAGGCTGAGGCAGGAGAATGGCGTGAACCCAGGAGGCAGAGGTAGCAGTGAGCCGAGATTGTGACACTGCACTCCAGCCTGGGCGACAGAGCGAGACTCCTTCTCAAAAAAAAAAAAAAAAAAAAAAAGTAGCATAGTGTATGAGGAAACTCCAGTTGGTTTTGTTTGTCTGGAGTATACATTCTTAGGTAGGAGGTTGAGGCAGGAAATGAAACAATGTGGGTACATACAAACTGGAAAGGTTTCACTAAGGAACTTGAATATTTTCTTATTAGAATTACTAAGATGTATTGAATGATTTATCATGTGCTAGGCAGTGTGTGAAGCTTTGTACATGTACATCATTTAATTTTCTCCACAGCCTGTAAGAGGTAGGTGCTATTATTATCTTTGTTTTAGAGAAAGGAAACCGAGGTTCACTGAGAGAATCATGTATGTATTTGGGCAGTGAAATACTTTTTAGTTGATTGATTGAGATCTGGAGGTCCCACTGAGGAGATTCCACGCTAGAATGCTGTGCACACTTACGAGTTGTTTCCTAGCTGTGGGGATGAGTTTGCACTAAGCTAGTGATTCCTGAATGTTGGTGAGCATCAAAGTCACTTGGTGGAGCTTATTATCATTCAGCTCCCTGGGCTCCAATCTATAGGTTCTGATTCAGCAGGTCTGGGGTGGAACCCAGGAATCTGTAGGTTTAATACTCACCTCTGATTGTGATTGTGATGCAGGTGGGCCTGGGATCACACTGTGAACAATCCCAACACTATTGCCTTTTCTTTCTTAACATCTTTGGACCACTGGTGTTCATTTTAAGCATGGCTGCCCAGGAGCAGGTCAAAACTCTAACTATATATTACAAAAATTAGCTCTACTACCTTGGAACTCCATTTTGCTTAGATAATCAGTCACAGACCTAAATAGAAAAAGCCCATTGGCAAAAACTGTAGAGTGAACAGGGGCCTTCAGTTTCTCACCTGAGCTCTTCCAGCTCCTAGTGCTCATTAGGCCCAGGGCTAAGTGCTTGATAAATGTATAGTATACACTGCTGGGTGGTCAGCTGATTAGGCTGAGCATGACCATAAAGAAGAGTGATAAATTGTAGGTAAGTCATCAAGTTTGTATTTTACAAGCAAATACATTACACATATAAATTACTTAGAAACCAACTGGATTTGTGGGCGAGAAATTCTACAAATGGGATGCAGAGGACACAGTCTAATATTGCCATCACACATCACAGAAAACAGAGGCTCAGGGACTATCCAATAGCCTTGATTCAGAGATATCTCATTCATATTCCTGTCACAGTGTAAACTCTAACCTTTCCCCACTCCATTCCATTGGCATGGGTGAGTTTCTTCCGGGTCTCCTGGAAGAATGTTTATTTCTGTCTCCTGTGTCACTGGGAGCAATAGGTAGGAGCAGAAAATTCATGTTCAAAACTCTCCATTTCCTTCTCCTTAAAGCCTAGATAGATGGTTAGGAGATTAATGGAGCCTTTTGAAGTTGGAGATGAAAATCCTATTGAATCACAGCAGCATGGTCTCTTTGCTTCCCATGATGGTCCTGTATTCTTGCCTTTCTTTTGAAGTGATATCAATTTGACGAATTGGTCGAGGCTGTCATGTTTTACAATGATGTGGCTCCACCTGTTTGCCTTTTTAGGGCCACACTCAAGATTATGTTAATATAGTACAGCTTTAAGAAAGGAAATGGTTATTTTTTGGCTTAAATGTGTCCAGAATGTGGGCAAAGGATAAAAACATAACATAATGCATTGGTTTTTTATGTGCTCATTCACCTTTGTACTTAGCATTGAAAATTCTGACTAAAAAGTGTTCTTTCCCCACAACCCCTTTAATAATTATTTTGTTGAAATTTTATCTTCCTCCTGATACTGTGGTTATATCTCTTCACACTTTCTGGTCTTTTGTAAGTTCTGTGTCCTTTTCTGACCAAAACACATTTATATGCTGCACTCGCATGATGTCCATGTGACTAAAAGTGAAAGATCCAGTTAAACAAACTCGTTTGTGTGTGCGTGTGTGTTTCTTCCCTGTGGATTCAACTATTTTTCCCCCAGATTTTCTGTGATATATACACACCCCATGTGCATGAGGAGCAAACTATTAAAATGGGCATTAGAAATGATGGAGTCATGAGGCTGACAGAATCTGAAGCTATCTTCTGATACAGCTCCTGCATACAGGCAGGTAAATATTTAGTCTCTTTAAGATAAGTAGTCATCTTATCTCTTCTTCAAGGGCTTTACACACTATTTTGATTATTTAGTCCAGTGTTTTGTCTCCACAGTCAAGATATTCTTCCTCATGATTAGTGATGTTGAACATTTCTTTCATCTATTTGTTGGCTATTTATATGTCTTCTTTTGAGGAATGTATATTCAGATCCTTTGCCCATTTTTAATTGGGTTATTTGTTTTCTTGCTATTGTTTTGAGTTTCTTATATATCCTTACCAGATGTATGGCTTTGAAACATTTCTTGTCCAGTCTTTAGGTGACCTCTTCACTCTGTTAATTGTTTCCTTTGTTGTGCAGAAGCTTTTTTAATTTGATGTAATCCTATTTGTTTACTTTTGGTTTTCATTGCAAATTAAACTACAAGGAGATAACACTTCACACCTATCAGAATAGCAATTATCAAAAAGACAAAATATAAGTGTTGGATTAACATGGCAGATAGGAGGCAGGACTAGCTTGCAGCTCCCGCTTGGACAGAGAGAGCAGCATGTGGAGACTCACATTGTGAACTTTTGCTCCAAGAACTACCACAGGAACATACCAGCAAAGGAGAGAGAATCCACAGACCATTTGAAGGAACTGGATCAATGCTGCAGGCTCCCTGAGATGCTGAAAAACTGTAAGTCTGCTTGCCTTCTCAATGAGGAGGTTTGTGGTCCAGGGCAAGTACTCAGTCCTGGTCACTGGCTGCCTGAAAATAGGCTCAGTGTTGTTGGGGAGGAACAGTGGGAGTGAGACTGGCCTTTAGGACTGCGGGCTGTGAGGGAGTAGGATGAGGCCTGTGACTTTCCTCCACTTCCTTGGTGACCTGTATGACTCAGCAGAGGCAGCCATAATCCCCCTAGGAATATAACTCCACTGGACTGTGAACTAAACTCAACTCCCATCCCCCACAGCAGCCTCAGCAAGCCCTGCCCAAGGAGAGGCTGAGCTCAGACACGTCAATCCCTGACCCCACCTGGTGGTCATTCTCTACCTGTCCTGGTAGCCAAAGACAAAAGTCATAATCTCTTGGGAGCTCTATGGCCCCGCCCAGCACCTGAGAAACCTGAATACTTAACCAGGTGTCCCTAGGGCAAGTTTGCATCCTCCTTGTAGGACCGCAACTGATGCACTCTTGAAAGCGCCACCTCCTGGCTAAAGGCTAGCCAACACAAAACCAGTGCATGAAACAAAAACACAACCAAGGAACCTCACAGAGTCTACTTCACTCCCCTGCTGCCTCCACTGGAGCAGGTGCTGGTATCCATGGCTGCAAGACCTGAAGATGGATAACATCACAGGACTCTTTGTAGACACTCCTCAGTACCAGCCGAGAGCCTGGTAGGTCCACTGGATGGCTAGACCCAGAAAAAGAAAGACAATCACTACAGTTCAGCTCTCAGGAATCCCCATTCCTATGGGAAGAGTGAGACCACCACATCAAGGGAGCATCCTGTGGGATAAAAGAATCTGAACAGCAGCCCTTGAATACCAGATCTTCCATCTGACACAGTCTACCCAAATGAGAAGGAACCGGAAAAACAATTCTGGTAATATGACAAAACAAGGTTCTTTAACTCCCTGAAAAGATCATACTCAGCTCACTAGCAATGGATCCAAACCAAGATGAAATCTCTGAATTGCCAGAAAAAGAATTCAGAAGGTCAATTATTAAGCTAATCAAGGAGGCACCAGAGAAAGGTGAACTCCACCTTAAATAAATCAAAAACTTGATACAGGATATGAAAGGAAAATTCTTCAGTGAAATAGAGAGCATAAATAAAAAACAGTCACAATTTCTGGAAATGAAGGACACACTTAGAGAAATGCAAAAGGCACTGGAAAGTCTCAGCAATAGAATCAAACAAGCAGAAGAAAGAACTTCAGAACTCGAAGACAAGGCTTTTGAATTAACCCAAACTGTCTAAGACAAAGAAAAAAGAATTTTAAAAAATGAACAAAGCCTCCAAGAACTTTGGGACTACGTTAAACATCCAAACCTAAGAATAATTGGTATTTCTGAGGAAGAAGAAAAATCCAAAGGTTTGGAAAACATATTTGAGGATATAATTGAGGAAAACTTTCCTGGCTCATATGGTTCGGCTATGTCCCCATCGAAATCTCATCTTGAATTCCCAGGTGTTGTGGGAGGGACCTGGTGATAGGTAACTGAATCATGGGGGCAAGTCTTTCTCATGCTGTTCTTGTGCTAATGAATGAGTCTCATGAGATCTGATGGTTTTATAAAGAAGAGTTACCCTGCACAAGTTCTCTCTCTATGCCTGCTGCCATCCATGTATGACATGGCTTGCTCTGCCTAGCCTTCCACCATGATTGTGAAGCTTCCCCCCACATGGAACTGTAAGTCCATTACCCCCCCCCACCTTTTTTTTAATTGCTCAGTCTCAGGTATGTCTTTATCAGCAGCATGAAAATGAACTAACACTGGCCTTGCTAGAGATCTAGACATCCAAATACAAGAAGCTCAAAGCACACCTGGGAAATTCATGGTAAAAATATCATTGCCTAGGCACATAGTCATCAGGTTATCTAAAGTCAAGATGAAGGAAAGAACCTTAAAAGCTGTGAGGCAAAAGCATCAGGTAACATATAAAGGAAAACCTATCAGATTAACAGCAGATTTCTCAGCAGAAACCCTATAACCTAGAAGTGATTGGGGTTCTATATTCAGCTTCCTTAAACAAAACAATTATCAGTGAAGAATTTTGTATCCAGTGAAAGTAAGCCTCATAAATGAAGGAAAGATGCAGTCTTTTCCAGACAAGCAAATGCTGAGAGAATTCACCACTACCAAGCCAGCACTACAAGAACTGCTAAAAGGGGCTCTAAATCTTGAAATAAATCCTCAAGATACACCAAAATAGAACCTCCTTAAAGCATAAACCTCACAGGACTTATATAACAAAAACACACTTTAAAAAACCAATGTGTTCAGGCAACAAATAGCATGATGAATAGAATAGTACGTCACATCTCAATACTAACATTGAATGTAAATGGACTAAACACTCCACTTAAAAGATACAGAATAACAGAATGGATAAGAATTCGCCAACCAAGTTGCTGCCTTCTTCAGGAGACTCACCTAACACATAAGGACTCACATAAACTTAAGGTGGGAAAAGATATTCCATGCAAATGGATATCAAAAGTGAGCAGGAGTAGCTATTCTTGTATCAGACAAAACAAACATTAAAGCAACAGCAGTTAAAAAGAAACAAAGAGGGACATTATATAATGATAAAAGGACTAGTCAACAGGAAAATATCACAATTCTAAATATATATGCACTTAACACTGGAGCTCCCAAATTTATAAAACAATTACTACTAGACCTAAGAAATGAGATAGCAATACAATAATATTGTGGGACTTCAATACTCCAACGACAGCACTAGACAGGTCATCAAGACAGAAGGTCAACAAAGAAACAGTGAACTTACACTATACCCTAAAGCAAATGGGCTTAACAGCTACCTATAGAACATTATGCCCAACAACTGCAGAATATACATTCTGTTCATCAGCACATGGAACATTCTCCAAGATAGACCATATGATAGCCTACAAAACAAGTCTCAGTAAATTTAAGAAAATCAAAATTACGTCAAGTACTTTCTCAGACCACAATGGAATAAAACTGGAAATCAACTCCAAAAGAAACGCTGCAAACCATGCAAATACATGGAAATTAAATAACCTGCTCCTGAATGATCATTGGGTCAACAATGAAATCAAGATGGAAATTTAAAAATTACTTGAACTGAACGATAATTGTGACACAACCTATCCAAACCTCTGGGATACAGAAAAAGCAGTGCTAAGAGGAAAGTTCATAGAATTAAATGCCTACATAAAAAAAGTCTGAAAGAGCACAAATAGACAATCTAAGGTCACACCTCAAGGAACTAGAGAAACAAGAACAAACCAAACCCAAACCCAGCAGCAGAAAAGAGATAACAAAGATCAGAGCAGAACTAAGTGAAATTGAAACAAAAACATACAAAAGATAAACGAAACAAAAAGCTGGTTCTTTGAAAAGATAAACAAAATTGATAGAACATTAGCGAGACTAACCAAGAAATGAAGAGAGAAAATCCAAATAAACTCAATTAGAAACATAACTTTTTATTTTTATTTTTATTTATTTTTCAATTTTTAAGTTCAAGGGTACATGTGCAGGTTTATTAATAAACCCATGTCGTGGGGTTTTATTGTACAGATTATTTCATCGCCCATGTATTAAGCCTAGTACGCTTTGTTATTTTTCCTGATCCTCTTCCTCTTCCCAGCCTCCACCCTCTTAGGCTCCAGTGTCTGTTGTTCCGCTCTATGTGTCCATGTGTTCTCATCACTTAGCTCCCCTGTATAAGTGAGAACATAAAGTATTTGATTTTCTGTTCCTGCGTTAGTTTGCTAAGTATAGTGGCCTCCAACTTCATCCATTTTCCTGCAAAGGACATGATCTCATTCTTTTTATGGCTGTATTGTATTCCACGGTGTATATGTACCACATTTTCTCTACCTAGTCTTCCAGTGAAGGGTATTTAGGTTGATTCCATGTCTTTGCTATTGTGAATAATGCTGCAATGAATACACATGTGCATGTGTCTCTATAATAGAATGATTTATATTTCTTTTGGTGAATACTCAGTAAAGGGATTGCTGGGTGAAATGGTAGTTCTGTTTTCAGCTCTTTGAGGAATTGCCACACTGCTTTTCACAATAGTTGAACTAATTTACACTCCCAGCAACAGAATATAAGCATTTCCTTTTCTCCCCAACCTTGTCAGCATCTATTTTTTTGATTTTTTAGCAATGGCCATTCTGACAGGTATGAGATGGTATCTCATTGTGGTTTTGATTTGCATTTCTTTAATGATCAGTGATGTTGGCCTTTTTCCTGTGTTTTTTGGCCACGTGTATGTCTTCCTTTGAAAAGTGTCTGTTCCTGTCTTTTGCCCACTTTTTAATGTGGTTGTTTCTTTCTTGTAAATTTGTTTAAGTTATTTATAGATGCTGGATGTTAGACCTTTGTCAGATATACAGTCTGCAAAATTTTTTTCCCATTCTGTAGATTGTCTGTGTATTCTGTTGATAGTTTCTTTTGCTGTGCAGAGCAGAAGTTCTTTAGTTTAGTTAGATCTCATTTGCCAATTTTTGCTTTTGTTGCAATTGCTTTTGGCATCTGCGTCATGAAATGTTTGCCTGTTCTGATATCCATAATGGTATTGCCTGGGTTGTCTTCCAGGGTTTTTATAGTTTGGGGTTTTACATTTAAGTATTTAGTCTATCTTGAGTTTATTTTTGTATACAGTGTAAGAAAGGGGTCTAGTTTCCTTTTTTTTTTTTTTTGAGATGGAGTCTTGCTCTGTCGCCCAGCCTGGAGTGCAGTGGTGTGATCTCCGCTCACTGTAGCTCTGCCTCCCGAGTTCACACCATTCTCCTGCCTCAGCCTCCCGAGTAGCTGGGACTACAGGCACCAGCCACCATGCCCGGCTAATTTTTTGTATTTTCAGTAGAGATGGGTTTCACCATGTTAGCCAGGATGGTCTCGATCTCCTGTCTTTGTGATCCACCCGCCTTGGCCTCCCAAAGTGCTGGGATTACATGCATGAGCCACCACACCCGGCCAGAAAGGGGTCTAGTTTCAATCTTCTGCATATGGCTAGCCAGTTCTCCCAGCACTATTTATTGAATAGGAAATGCTTTCCCCGTTGCTTATTTTTTGTCAGTTTTGTCGAAAATCTGATAGTCGTAGATGTGCAGCCTTATTTCTGGGCTCTCTATTCTGTTCCATTGGTCTATGTGTCTGTTTTTGTATCAGTACCATGCTGTTTTGGTTACCATAGCCCTGTGGAGTTGGAGAGCATGATGCCTCCAGCTCTGTTCTTTTTGCTTAGGATTGCCTTGGCTATTTAGGCTTTTTTGGTTCCAAATGAATTTTAAAATAGTTTTTTGTTGTTCTGTGAAGAATGTCAGTGGTAGTTTGGTAGAAATAGCATTGAATCTATACATTGCTTTGGGCAGTATGGCCATTATAACAATATTGATTTTTCCTATCCATAAGCATGGCATGTTTTTCTGTTTGTGTCATCTCTGATTTCTGTGAGCAGTGTTTTGTAGTTCTCCTTGTACAGATTTCACCTTCCTGGTTAGCTGTATTCCTAGGTATAATATTTTATTCTCTTTGTGTCAGTTGTGAATGGGATTGCATTCCTGATTTGGCTCTCAGCTTCACTGCTGTTGGTGTATAGGAATTCTAGTGATTTTTGTACATTAATTTTGTATCCTGAGACTTTGCTGAAGTTTTTATCAACTGAAGGGGCTTTTGGGCTGAGACTGTGGGGTTTCCTAGATAAAAGATCATATTGTCTGAAAACAGGGATAGTTTCGCTTTCTCTCTTCCTATTTTGGATACCATTTCTTTCTTTTTTTTTAAATTTATTATACTTCAAGTTCTAGGGTACATGTGCACAACGTGCAGGTTTGTTACACATGTATACATGTGCCATGTTGGTGTGCTGCACCCATTAACTTGTCATTTACATTAGGTATATCTCCAAATGCTTTCCTTCCCCGCTCCCCCCACCCCATGACAGGCCCCAGTGTGTGATGTTCCCCTTCCTGTGTCCAAGTGTTCTCATTGTTCAATTCCCACCTATGAGTGAGAACATGTGTTGTTCGGTTTTCTGTCCTTGCGATAGTTTGCTGAGAATGATGGTTTCCAGCTTCATCCATGTCCCTACAAAGGACATGAGCTCATCCTTTTTTATGGCTGCATAGTATTCCATGGTGTATATGTGCCACATTTTCTTAATCCAGTCTATCATTGATGGACATTTGGGTTGGTTCCAAGTCTTTGCTATTGTGAATAGTGCTGCAATAAACATGCGTGTGCATGTGTCTTTATAGCAGCATGATTTATAATCCTTTGGGTATATACCCAGTAATGGGATTGCTGGGTCAAATGGTATTTCTAGTTCTAGATCCTTGAGGAATCGCCACAGTGTCTTCCTTTCTCTTGCTTGATTGCTCTGGCCAGAACTTCTAATACTATGTTGAATAGGAGTGGTGAGAGAGGGAGGGCATCCTTGTCTTGTGCTGATTTTCAAGGAGAATACACCAGCTTTTGCCCATTCAGTCTGATATTGGCTGTAGATTTGAGATATATGGCTCTTATTATTTTGATGTATCTTCCTTCAAGATCTATTTTATTGAGAGTTTTTAACATGAAGGGGTATTGAATTTAATTGAAAGCCATTTCTGCATCTATTGAGATAATCATGTGGTTCTTGTCTTTAGTTCTGTTTATGTGATGAATCACATTTATTGATTTGTGTGTGTTAAACCAAGCTTGCATCCAGGCACAAAGCCTACTCAATCATGGTGGATATGGTTTTTGATGTGCTGCTGGGTTCAGTTTGCCATTATTTTGTTGATGTTCGTCAAGAATATTGGCCTGAAGTTTTCTTGTTTTGTTGTGTCTGCTAGGTTTTTAGTATCAGAATGATGCTGGCCTCATAGAATGAGTTAGGGAGGAGTCTCTTCTCCTCAAATTTTGGAAATAGTTTCAGTAGGAATCACACCAGCTCTTCTTTGTACATCTGGTAGAATTAAGTTGTGAATCAGTCTGGTCCTGGGTTTTTTTGGGGGTCGGTAGGCTACTTATTACTGATTCAATGTTGGAGCTCATTATTGTTCTATTCAAGGATTCAATTTCTTCCTGGTTCAGTCTGTGGAGGGTGTATGTGTCCAATAATTTATCCATTTCTTCTAGATTTTCTAGTTTGTGTGTATAGAGGTGTTCATAATATTCTCCGATGGTTGTATTTCTTTGGGGCCAGGGGTAGTATACCCTTTGTCATTTCTAATTGTGTTTAATTGGTTCTATTTTCTTCTTTATTAGTCTAGATGGTAGGCTATGTATTTTATTAATTTTTTCAAAAAACCAACTCTCGGATTTGTTGATCTTTTGAATTTTTTTTCATCTCAATCCCCTTCAGTTCATCTTTGATTTTGATTATTGCTTGTCTTCTGCTAGCTTTGGGATTGGTTCACTCTTGGTTCTCTAGTTCTTTTAGTTGTATATTCACTACTTTAAACATTTATTATTTCTTTGCGGTGATAACATTAAAAATCTCTTCTAGCAATATTGAAATATGCACTACATTGTTATTTGCTCTAGTTACCCTACTGTGTATTAAAATAACAGAACTTATTCTTCCTATGATATGGTTAGGCTTTGTGTTCTCGCCCAAATCTCATCTTGAATTGTAATCCCCATAATCCCCACATGTCAAGGGGAGACCAGGTGAAGGTAATTGAATCATGGGGGTGGTTTCCCCCATGCTGTTCTTGTGATAGTGAGTTCTCATGAGATCTAATGGTTTTATATGGGGCTCTTCGCCCTTCGCTCAGTACTTCTCCTTCCTGCACCTTGTGAAGAAGGTGCCTTGCTTCCCCTTCACCTTCCACCATGATTGTAAGTTTCCTGAGGCCTCCCCAGCCATGCTGAACTGTGATTCAATTAAACCTCTTCCTTTATAAATTATAAATTACCCAGTCTCAGGCAGTTCTTCATAGCAGTATAAAAATGGACTAATACATCCTAACTGTAATTTTGTACCTGTAGTTTTTTCATTGAGTTGTTAGTAGTTTTCTTATTGCTGAGTTTTAGGAGTTCTTTGTATATTTTGAATAACAGTCTTTTATCAGTTATCTTTTGCAAACATTTTTTCCCGGTCTGAAGCTTGTCTTTTTATTTCTCTGACAGTTTCTTACACAAAGCAGGAATTCTTAATTTTAATGAAGTCCAGCTTATCAATTATTTTTTTCATAGATTATGCCTTTGGTGTTGTATGTAAAAAGCCATGTCCAAACCCAAGGTCATCTAGATCTTCTCCTGAGTTATCTTCTAGTATTTATATAGTTTTGTGTTTCACATTTAGGTCTATGATCCATTTTAAATTAATTTCTGTGAAGGGTGTAAGGTCTGTGGCTAAATTCATTTCTTTTACATGGGAATATTGTCCATTCATTTTTGCTCCATTGCTATTCATTTTAGATGACCTAAGATATTACAAAACACACACACACACACACACACACACACACACTCCACCCCACACCACACCACACAAGTATCTTCTCAAGTTGTGAAGAGCTGAGCTGTCCACTTGAAGCTGCAGGAGAGACACTTCAGACCCTGGCCATTCAGTCATTTACTCAGCATGTATTGAGCACCTACTATATGTTTGACGTCATGTTAGAAGGTGAATACTCATGGTGCCTAAGGAACATGCCTTGATCTATCTAGTTCATGGTCTAGAGGGGAAGATAGATGTTTGTACAAGGATGACATAAGATGTCAAGTTCCAAAACAGGGATAAGCATAAAGTGCTATGGATTTCAGGAGAAAGAATGATTAGTTAGGAGGAAGAGAGGAGGAAGGTGTGTTGGTGCTTGGGAAGGTGCTCAAGAGGAAGAATTTCACTTCCTGAAAGATCACGAGGAGTAAAGGGGTGGGGAAAGCAGAGAGATCACTGCAAGTAAAGGAAACAGTATGAACAGTGGTAGAGGTGTGTGTGTGTGTCTGTGTGTGTGTGTGTGTGTGTGTGTGTGTATGTGTGTGTGTGTGTTTAAGGAAAGGGCTAGATCATTGGGCAGAGTAGCAAATGGGCCTGAAAATCACATTGGGGTCATGAATACAATGCTAGGGAGTTTGTTCTTTACCCTGAAAAGTAGATCTGACTCCCAGGACAAACAGATACTACTTTCTGCCACCATTCTCTTCCTCTTTCCTAATCAGTGCCCTCCTTTGTCTTTACTTTTTATGTAAACTGGTTAACTTCATTTATTAAATCATGGATTTATGTTTACCACATTTATTGGGTATTTTCTAATGTACCAATGCTGAGTCTTTTGGAACTGTCATTTGTAGCTGGTGATTGACATGCAGAACCCAAAGAGAGCAGAACTCTCCATGGTCCCCATCCTAGTGCCTCCCCCCAATCATTCCTGTGCCCCTCTAGGGGATTTGGCCAAGACTTCTGGAAGCCAATGCCTTCCAGCTATATACAGTGTTGATATTCTGATATATTTGCCAAGACTCTAGTTTATATGCAATCATTTCTTCTCCAGTTGCCTCCTGGACTTATCAGTGGGACTGAAACACAATATAAAGACTACTGCCAATATTAAAGTTTTTGGCAAAGAAGTGTGCACCTGAATCTTCTTCTTTGTGCAGGGAGGTAGGATTGGGCACTGGGCTTGTCATAGAGCAAGCTGTTGTAAAGAAGTGAAGTGGATCCTGGAGATGGTTCTGTTGCAGTGGCAGCACACTATCTCACCAGGTGCTTAGAACTGGCTCCAAGTCTCTGGGAGGGGAACTGGTTGGCACCAGCAAACAAAGGAGGAAAAAAACTGAGCAGGTTCACTTTCAAGAAATACCTGAAGCGAAACTGAGAAAGAGTCTCTTCCTAGTTCCCACATTAGGGCTCTCTTCATGGGAAGTATATGATTCAGAATTCCATGGAACAGTCTCCATATCCTTGGTTATCTGCCTGAGCCTGCTGCCTGTAGATGCAAACCCAACCAGGATGTCACATTCCCTATCTCTGGTGTATAGTTGGTGCCTATCTTTATCCCTAGATATCCCACCCATGATACCTGATCTTCTCCAAACCAGGAAGTTGGCACAATCCAGAATTTCAGATTTGCTTAGGGAAATGTGTTTTCTTTCTCCACCAGACTTCCTCTGTCAGTCAAGAAAAGTGCAAACTCATCACAAGGGACAGGGTGGGATAGGGGAGGGACCCAAGGCTATACAACCTGAAGAGATTACCATTTAATTTTGGGAGTAGCAGAGAACACCCCTGAAAAAAATGTCTAAAATTCTCCTTTACAGTCTGGCTCAAAACTCATCACCTCCAAGAAGCCTTCTTTTCTATATCTCCCCCCATCACTACCCTCACTAGAGGCTATCTTGAATTTACAGGGATATGTGTAGACATTGTTTAGCTCCACCAAAAGCATAGGCCCCTTAAGGGGAATGTCTAGGCCTTCCTCAAGTTTCTAACACCCATGGTGTCTGTCACAAGGCAGGTATTTGGTAAATGTTTGTTAAATAAATCCCATGGGTTTTGGAATAACTGTTACCATTAATGTTATTTTTTTTTTCTACGTGCCTAGGTCTTGACTGTCTACATAGGGCCTTCACATCCCTTTTTTCCTTGAATCCTCATCATGGTCTATCAGGTTTCTGCTCTCATGTAAGGGCCATCCACGATGCTGGATACACTGCTGTAGACATAAAAAAAAATCTTTATGTTTGGACAATGTGCTTTTTTTTTTTTTTTTTTGAGATGGAGTCTCACTCTGTCACCCAGGCTGGAGTGCAGTGGGGTGATCTCGGTTCACTGTAACCTTCGCCTCCCAGATTCAAGCGATTCTCCTGCCTCAGCCTTCTGAGTAGCTGAGATTACAGTTGTGCCCCACCGTGCCCAGCTAATTAAATTTTTTTTTTTTTGTAGAGACAGGGGTCTCACTATAATCCCCAGGCTGGACTTGAACTCCTGGACTCAAGGGATCTTCCCTTATTGGCCTCCCAAAGTGCTGAGATTACAGGTGTGAGCCACTGCACCCAGCCCTAAAACATCTATTTTTTTCTGATATGATATCTGCCTTTTTGATAATGCTAGGTTTTCAATTGACTGGATTTGATTTGCTTTGCATTCCCATAGCAAACAGTTCATGTAGGTAGATGCCCTTTATCCAGGTAATCCTCGTGGCTATTTCACTCCTTCCTCCCTTTTCTCACAGTGGATCTCATTAGGTAATTATCAGTTTTAGAAATCTCCATTAAGAATTTCTTTTCCACAGTTAACAACAAAGCTCTGTTTTTATTTTATTTTAGTTTTTGACTCCTGATTTTATTATTCAATTTCTTTTTTTTCATTTAGTCTCCTGTGATTGGGAAGCCTTGCCTCCCAAGACCAGAGTCAGTTGGAGCTGGTTGTTGGAAGGGAGTGGGTTGGGGAACTGGGATGGGGGCAGGGAGACCCCGCTCTGCTGGTGGTCCTAGGTGGAGAAGAAGAATTATACTTCACAGAGCCTGCGGTGTGGTGGGAAGGGGATGAGGCAGGAGCAGCAAGCTGGGGAGATGGGACCCACCTCAGTCCCCAGCTTCATTTTCTTCTAATGTTTCCCCACTGGTGGCTTTCTCTGCAGTCTTGTAGGCCTTCTTCTTTTTTTTTTTTTTTTCTTTTTCTGGGTTTTTTGACTTGCAGAACTCTAGAGGAGAGCCTTTAGCTCTGCATCCTGGACTTCCATCTCAGACTTGTAGAGGTCAGGCTCGAAGGGACCACTGGTTATCTGCATAAGGCCATCGAGCATCAGCAGAACTATACATTTAAACTGGGCAACAAATTCACCTTCCTTCTCATAGAGAACATTAAATAGTTTGCACCAGTTCATGTTTGGTGCACTTCACCACACCAATCTGAGCCTTCTTCTCATCTTCAAATGCTCTTAAAGTAAACGGCATGGCATCAAAACACTTTTCCACCTCACTGAAGAAGGCATGTGAAGTTTTCATCTTCAGTCCGTGCTGTTTAGAGGGGTCTCATTTGTAAATAGTGGTTCTCTGTCCTGCATCCTTGCTCTTGCCCTCTCCTGAGCTGACGAGAACATCCACAGCATATACTTCATGTACCGCCAATTCCGCTTTTTCATGGTCCTTCTTCTTCTGGTCTGTGAGATTCTGGATAATGGTTTTTTCTCCATCGATGACATGCTGCTTCAACTGATGTGACAGCATACCTTCTATTGGCGTGCAGTTAAGTGAGTGGGCAGCTTTGTTCAGGGCTTCTGTCACTTGTGTGTTCTGGTTTCCAGGTTTGACCAGGCGTAGGACAGCTTCATCACAAAGGTGAATTGCCTTAATGACATCTGCTTTCCTCCCTGTTACTTGGGTCCCCTGAGCTACATCAACCACAAAAGTATGAGCTACATTAGCGATGAAGCCATCCACATGGACCCCAAGGTCAATTTTTACCAAGTCACCTTCCTTGAGAATATAATCCTGGTTGCTCTTCAAAGGGGAGAAGTGACATATACAGTTATTTACTGAAATGCTGGTGGGAAAAGCAATACCTTTTCTCATTTCTATTTTTTTCTTGAAGATTTTCCCTATTTCTTCCATAATCATGGCATCATCTTTCTCACACAGGCTCAGTACCAACACACCTGAGCTAGATGCTTCTACCAAGGACCGTAGTACCTGGTTAGCGATGTCGCCCCCCCCATCTTATACTTGGTCACGACCAGGTCCTTGGCGATAGTTTGCTCCTGCTGCTTGTCCTTGTCCGACATCTTCCTACCACCATCACTGCAGCCTCGTTTTCTCTGAGCTGCCGCCTGTCTCCCTTCCCAGCCGCAGGCTGTGGTCAGAACCCCCTCGATCCTCGAGGAGAGGGCGAGCAAAATCGCGAGCAAGAAAGGGAGCGGGCAGGCAGGCGAGAGCAAAGCTCTGTTTTTAAATGAAGAAGTTTTCTTATTTCATTTTTAAATACCCAGAGGCTCATTCTGACAAGTTTTCAGCTTCTTTGTAGCTTCCTTGATCTTCGCAACATGACAAATACAATGGAACCTGTTCTGTAGTCCTTCCCTGTCTGTAACAGGGGGAAGGAAATCAAATAGGAGAGACAACTCAGAGCTGAAGGTTGTCAGAGAAATTAAATGTTCTTAAGAGGTGGTGCTGCGAATAAAGGGCGTCCACGCAGGTGTGCCTGACCAAGCTGATGGCTTTCAGGTGCGCATTGATATTTGGTATGAGGGAGAAGGGCCATTGAAGAGGTTTTGCGTTTGAACACCTGGAGAGCAAAGAGAGGGGTGTGGTTGGGGGGGCAAGCAGAAGAGACAAGGTGATTGGTGGTTGCACTCTAGCCTGGGTCAGGGATGAAGTCCAAGTCCCATAGCAAGATGGGCTACTGGAACAAGTGCTTTTCAGAAGCAAGGGGCGCCACTATGCTCAGGTAACAAAGTGGCACGGAGGGAGGAAGGGAAAGAGGTTATAGGTCAGATATTGAGCCTGGCTCACCTGTAACATTTTCGGGGTTTAGAACAAGAGTTCAACTTGGGATCCACATACCATATGCCTAAATATTTGAAATGTTTAAATCAACAAATACAGCATGTTTTATTTAATGGTTTATCTCCTTCCATGACAAATGTAACTTCATAATGACCTCAAAGTCCAGGTTGGGTTCTAGAATTCTCAGACTCCTCTAAGTCCTGTCCAATGGTGTGGGAAGAACTGCTACCCTTCCCCCTCCCGCTTTAGAAATATTTCAGACCTACACAAAATTGTAGAAAACATTACTATAAACATCCATGTATCCACTATTCAGCTTAAGAAATATAACATTACAAATACAGTTGATGTCTGCTGTGGTGCCTTCTCTACTAGAATGCCCCTCCCTTTCTTTCTGAGAGGTAACCACCATCTCAAATGTTCTTGTCTTTTTTTTTTTTTTTTGAGACGGAGCCTCACTCTGTCACCCAGGCTGGAGTGCAGTGGCGCGATCTTGGCTCACTGCCGCCTCTGCCTCCCAGGTTCAAGCGATTCTCCTGCCTCAGCCTCCTGAGCAGCTGGGATTGTAGGTGTGCACCACCACACCTGGCTATTTTTTGTATTTTTATTAGAGATGGGGTTTCACCATGTTGGCCAGGCCTATCTCGAACTCCTGACCTCAGATGATCCACCCGCCTGAGGGTGGGATTACAGGGGTGACCCACTGCGCCCAGCCGCAAATATGCTTGTCTTTCGAATGCACACTTTTCTGTATGCTACATTTGTATGCATCTCTTACATGCACACCTTTTAGTCTCTCTCTACTTACCCACAATCAATTTATGGTGGTCATTTTTATGTTTTCCTAGAAGTCATATACATGGTACTATGTTTGTATCCTTTTGGACCTGACTTTTTCCTTTATGCATTTTTCCCCTCTAGGCCTCAGCCCCTGTGAGTTCTACTTTCCTCCCCAGCTCAGCCCTTGCTGTCCCTTTCAGTTTACCTGAAACAAACCCAAGCTAGTGAATTAAGGCTGGTCTGACAGGAGGTGAAGCTCAACTTCTTTCTCTGTTGCTTGAAACCAGTGGTTCTCAAACTTTAGTGTTCATCAAAAGCTCTTAGAGGGCGTGTTAAAACACAGATTGCTGCCCCCACCCCCAGAGTTCCGATTCTGTAGTTCTTGGGTGGAGTCTGAGAATTCCCAGGTAATGCTGATGATGCTGTTTGGGAACAAAACTTTGAGAACCACTGCTTTAGATCAAAGGCTGGGCCCAAGCTCAGCAATACCATGTGGCCTCCAGGCAACCTGGGCCATCCATGAAGTTTTCTTCAAAACCATGCTCTAGAGCAGTATTGTCCAATAGACATATAATGTGATCTACATTGGGTAATTTTAAATGTTCTAGTAGCCTCATTAAAAAAATACAAAGAAACCAACAAAAACTTTAATATTTTAATTCAAGTATTATTTCAATGTGTAATCAGTATAAAAAACATGAGTAAGGCTGGGCGTGGTGGCTCAACCTGTAATCCCAGCACTTTGAGAGACCGAGGTGGGTGGATCACGAGGTCAGGAGATCGAGCCCATCCTGGCTAACACGGTGAAACCCCGTCTCTACTGAAGATACAAAAAATTAGCTGGGCATGGTGGCAGGCGCTTATAGTCACAGATACTCGGGAGGCTGAGGCAGGAGAATTGCTAGAAGCTGGGAGGCGGAGGTTGCAGTGAGTTGAGACCACGCCACTGCACTCCAGCCTGGGTGACAGAGTGAGACTCAGTCTCAAAAAAAAAATTAGTAAGATATGCAATATTATTTTCACACTTACAGCACATATTAAATCAGACTAGCCATATGACAAGTGCTCAGTAGCCACAACACACAGCTCTAAAGATGAGCCCCATCTCTCTCTTTCCAAAAATTGTTTTAAACTTGTCATTTTACTTGATTTTTGGCAGCAGTAAAAGAATTTCAAACAGTCTTACCAAGTGGTGGAAAGTAACACCTTTCAATGAAGGTATGGTGGGCCAAAACAAAGACTTAAAAGAGAGATTTGAGTTAGGATTATTTATTGAAAAATCTTCCCACGTTTCAGTTTATTCATTGAAAACAAACTTTTATTTTTAACTTGAACAAACACTGTCACATACATCCATGAAAGTTAGATGTCACTGGATATCACTTTTGATGTAACGAACTTTGGAATGATATGTGTTACAATTCCCACAGGCATCTGGAGAAAAAGATAAAAACAATGAACAACAGAGTCTTCTTTCTTTTCCTCCCAACTGTGGGATGAAATGAGAGATGATAAACAATAGTACAACATTAACCAGCACCAGTGACTTTCTAAATAGAAGAAAATGGCCAGCTCTGTGTATATCTGCAACATTTGTGTGCTATATCTTAAACAAGTAGAGAAGCCCATCTTTTCCTTTTGTAACTCACGAGCTTGGATATCAGGGTGCTTGTGGAACTGAAGGTTTCAGTCAAATGATCACACCAACCTTGTCTGCCTAGCACTAGAAAAGCTTGTTGCTTTTGTTTTTACATGAGGGGCCATTCTGGGATTTAAATAAATCTCTCAAGCTTCAACAGCCTGTGCTGGTTCCACAAATAATACTCCCTTACCCTCCCAGACCCTTGGTTTCCGTATCTACCATGTGGGAAAGAAGCCGTTACGAAATATACGGCTGTGAAAATGCAAAATAAATAAATAAATAAGAAAGAAAGAAAAATGTTAACCATTTAAATACACTCAAAGATGGATATACCTTAAGACTTCATTACCAATTCAGTGATAAACACACATTCTTTTCATCTGACTGTGACATAAAATACCAAAATATATAGCCAAATAAATATCTAGGTATTAATCATTCATTGTGGTCCTACTTGAAATTCTTAGCTTTTTGCTATTTTTAAGTAGTCACTTTGTAAAAGGCATTGAGTTGTCTCCTAGTTACTACGGGAGCCTGCATTTCTGTGGTCAAGTAACGAAGGCCCAACTAATGCGTGGCCCAGCCAAGTTAGCGGCTGTGTCTGGCAACTGTTTTCTACACAAATATTGGTCCTGGTAGTAGGTCTGATACATCTGCCACTTGTTAGTAGTCTTGCAGCTAGAGGACAAAAGACCTCAACATGAACAAATGAGTAGCCAAGAAGTATATTTCAGAACACACTGCAGTTCATATTACTAGGTACATGAATATTCTCGTAACATTTTAAGTAAGTTAAATTGAATTTTTAAACTAATTTTAAACTTTTTCTTACTTAACTTACTGAGAATTTTTGTTGTTGTTCAATAAAACTGTCTGCAACAGGTAAATGCCAGGAATAGTTGAGTGATTCTCAAAGCTATACACAGATACCTGGATTTTCTTGGCTTCACCTCTGCTGCGTCTAGGTCCCTTTGGAGTTCTTCACCTTGTTTTCCACATCCTTCTCTTTTTCTTGTTCTTTCTCTTCCTCGCCTGCAGCATCTTGGGCCTCTTCATCCCACTTTTCGGGCTGAGATTTAGTGACTTCTTTAGGGAAGAATAATACACACATGGGGACCAGACATTCACAGAAAATATAGCCCAATTTATAACTAGCAGCGGCATTCAGTTACTCCACCCTCAGGAGAAGCAGGATAGAGTTAAGTAAGAAAGGAATAGCTGGGCACCTTCCTACTGGTTTTCACAACAGTTCCATGGCCCTCACGTTGCTGCTGCTTGATCATTTCCACAGGGACACTGTATTTCCCTTTTTTCCAGTAAATCTCCCACCCAAAGCGGCTGATTATTTCTAGTTCTTTGGAGAAGAAGAGATCTGAATCATCGGGTCTGATCTCATTCTATGGTGTTTTGGTCAGAACTTTGTTGGGAAAATATTTGTTTACCTCAAAAGACAAATTCTATGGTGAAGCTCATTGGTTCCTCACCCCCTGAATGTTTCATTTTTACCAAGTGCTCCTGTATCACTTCATCATTTGGGGGATCAACTTTCTACGAATCTTTACACTTTGAAAAGCCATGAACCAAAAAGCACGCCTGCCTCCCATTTGCCTGTTCTTTTCCTTCTGTTTCCTGCGGAGCTCCCTCCTGAACCCCTATCTACCTGGCCATTCATCTGCAGGCTCGCAAATGGCATCGATGATCTCAGATCTCCTATCAAATATAGGTTGGTAGAGGGCGGCAAGTTTTCTCAAAACCATAGATGTCATTAGAGAATTGGGCTTCGACTCACTGGGACACATTCAGCCTTAAGTTTCAGGAGGGCCCCAACACCTGCTTCACCACCCGAGGCCCCGACCCCCCTTCACCACCCGCTTCACCAGCTGTGCCCGCACCGCAGCCCTGCCCAGAGCCCTTGGACACATGGATCCCCGCTTCCCCGCTGCTGCCGCTAGCCCCCTTACCCTCGGGGGCCACGGCCTCCTCTGAGGTCGGTTCCTCTGCGGCCGGTTCCTCTGTGGCCTCCTCTGTGAGCTTCTCCTCTGCGGCCTCCTCTGGGGGTTTCTCATCTGCGGCCTCCTCCGCGGGCTCCCTGGCCATCTCGGCCAGGTCAGCTGGCACTGCAGGCTCTGGGACCGACGCGGCCTCCTGGACCGACGCAGCCTCCTGGATCAGGCCGAGGCCCTCGCCTTCCGGGGCTGCAGCCCCTGCACCCAGCCTCTGGGACAGCAGCAGCAGGGGAGGGTTGTCCCAGAGGTTGGGCACAGCAGCGTGGGGCCCCACCATCAGGCGGCTGAGGTGACGGTTCGCTATCTGGATGTGGTCGTTGTGATAGAGGCGGCGGAGAAGGGAGTGGACCAGGTACAGGAACACGAAGCCAATGCCCGCCGCCGGGTACCGACGGGTGGCCACCGCCAAGTCGAAGTTGGCCGCCTCGTTCCCCTCTTCCTCCTCCTCCTCTTCCTCCGTCGCGGGCCCGATATCTGAGTCCTCCTCGGCGCTCCCGCCCTGGGGGACTGCGGCCAGGCCTGCCGCCTGCTCACCCTCCTCCTCCCCGAGGCCTTCCACGGGCCCTGCGACTCCGACCACCTCGGCCGCAGGCACCATGTCGCTGCTGTCGGGGCCGGAGTCGCCGCCCTCCTGGTTACCAGCTCCGGCCGCCTCGGCCTGTGCTCCCTCCTGGCTTACCGGGGCCTCCTGGTCCCCTTGGGTCGGGTGTCGGTCCCCTGTGGCAGACATGACACCAGCAGCGCCTCAACTGGGGTGGCGAGCGGGCTGAGGCGACCACGGTGAAGACGGTGACCACTGAGGTGGCTACGGCCGAGGGGAGGCGAGGAGCTGGCCGCTGAGGGAATAAGAGTCTTTCTCTTTATTGAGGAAATAAGAGTCTGTCTCAGACGACACCCTAAGGTGGGAAGGGCAGGGAGCGAATCCTAGGAACCTCCCACCAAGTCTGGCCTGAGAGGACTTAGATAAGGCGGGAAAGATTCTGGTTGGCAGGAGACAGGGGGCGGGACCGGAAGGGTCAACGAGGGGCTCTCAGTGAGCCCTAAGCTCATTTGCTGAAAACTTCAGATTGACATGCTCTTTGTCCAATGAATGATCAAGGCCCTTAAGCTCTAGGACAACTCAGAATCCAGAATCCAGAGCTTTTCCTTTTCTTTTTTTTATTTTTATTTTTTCAGACGGAGCCTTGCTCTATTGCCCAGGCTGGAGTACAGTGGCATGATCTCAGCTGACTGCAATCCCCGCCTCCTGGGTTCCAGTGATTCTCCTGCCTCAGCCTCCTGAGTAGCTGGGACTATAGGTGCACGCCACCACGCCCGGCTAGTTTTTGTATTTTTAGTAGAGACAGGGTTTCACCATGTTGGCCAGGATGGTCTCGATCTCCTGATCTTGTGATCCACCTACCTCGGCCTCCCAAAGTGCTGGGATTACAGGCGTGAGCCAGTGTGCCCGGACGAGCTCCACCTTTTCTTTGAGGCCTTAGTGTCCAGGGCTACCCTTTAGGTCCACACAAGTCCTGCCCTTTTAATTTTATGATTATTAGCAACACTATAGTAGTCCCATGTGGAGGCACCCTGGAGCATGGGAACTGCAAGGCGGTCACAGAGTTCACTTATTTCCACCTAGTAATGGCTCATGCCAGTAGAGATAGTGTCATAAAAATGTTATATAGTTCATAGCTAAGCAGTAGTGAAAACCTCCCAAGAGACATAAGAATTTCACTGAGTTAACGTAGTTAAAGCTACTTAGAAAAGAATGTGCAGAGTTGAAATGGATGCAGTCATCACTGAGTGTTGAGGTGGTAAATGACAGACACTGGAAGGTGTTTAATGAATCCTGCCAAATTCACTTCAAACCTCCAAATAATGGGGAAAAAAAGAGATACTTTTTTTAAAAGGACCAGGTCATCTCATAAGAGCTAAGCATCAAAAACACCAAAAGTGCCTGGGGGTGGTGGCTCACGCCTGTAATCCAGCACTTTGGGAGGCCGCACTTTGGGAGGCCGAGGCAGGCAGATCACCTGAGGTCAGTAGTTCGAGACCAGCATGACCAATATGGTAAAACCCTGTCTGTACTAAAAATACAAAAAATTAGCTGGACATGGTGGTGCGCGCCTGTAGTCCCAGCTACTCGGAAGGGTGAGGCAGGAAATTTGCTGGAGCCTGGGAGGTGGAGGTTGCAGTGAGCCAAGATGGCCCCACTGCACTCCAGCCTGGGTGACAGAGCGAGACTCAGTTTCAAAAAAAAAAAAAAAAATTAGTAATATATGCAATATTATTTTCACACTTGCATCACATATTAAATCAGACTAGCCGTATTACAAGTGCTCAGTAGTCACAACACACAGCTCTAAAGATGAGCCCCATCTCTCTCTTTTCAAAAATTGTTTTAAACTTGTCATTTTACTTGATTTTTGGCTGCAGTGAAAGAATTTCAAAGAGTCTTACCAAATGGCGGAAAGTAATATCTTTCAATGAAGGTATGGTGGGCCAAAACAAAGACGTAAAGGAGAGATTTGAGTTAAGATTACTTATTGAAAAATCTTCCCACGTTTCAGTTTATTCATTTAAAACAAACTTTTATTTTTTAACTTGAACACTGTCACATACATCCATGAAAGTTAGATGTCACTGGATATCACTTTTGATGTAACGAACTTTGGAATGATATGTGTTACAATTCCCACAGGCATCTGGAGAAAAAGATAAAAACAATGAACAACAGAGTCTTCTTTCTTTTCCTCCCAACTGTGGGATGAAATGAGAGATGATAAACAATAGTACAACATTAACCAGCACCAGTGACTTTCTAAATAGAAGAAAATGGCCAGCTCTGTGTATATCTGCAACATTTGTGTGCTATATCTTAAACAAGTAGAGAAGCCCATCTTTTCCTTTTGTAACTCACGAGCTTGGATATCAGGGTGCTTGTGGAACTGAAGGTTTCAGTCAAATGATCACACCAACCTTGTCTGCCTAGCACTAGAAAAGCTTGTTGCTTTTGTTTTTACATGAGGGGCCATTCTGGGATTTAAATAAATCTCTCAAGCTTCAACAGCCTGTGCTGGTTCCACAAATAATACTCCCTTACCCTCCCAGACCCTTGGTTTCCGTATCTACCATGTGGGAAAGAAGCCGTTACGAAATATACGGCTGTGAAAATGCAAAATAAATAAATAAATAAGAAAGAAAGAAAAATGTTAACCATTTAAATACACTCAAAGATGGATATACCTTAAGACTTCATTACCAATTCAGTGATAAACACACATTCTTTTCATCTGACTGTGACATAAAATACCAAAATATATAGCCAAATAAATATCTAGGTATTAATCATTCATTGTGGTCCTACTTGAAATTCTTAGCTTTTTGCTATTTTTAAGTAGTCACTTTGTAAAAGGCATTGAGTTGTCTCCTAGTTACTACGGGAGCCTGCATTTCTGTGGTCAAGTAACGAAGGCCCAACTAATGCGTGGCCCAGCCAAGTTAGCGGCTGTGTCTGGCAACTGTTTTCTACACAAATATTGGTCCTGGTAGTAGGTCTGATACATCTGCCACTTGTTAGTAGTCTTGCAGCTAGAGGACAAAAGACCTCAACATGAACAAATGAGTAGCCAAGAAGTATATTTCAGAACACACTGCAGTTCATATTACTAGGTACATGAATATTCTCGTAACATTTTAAGTAAGTTAAATTGAATTTTTAAACTAATTTTAAACTTTTTCTTACTTAACTTACTGAGAATTTTTGTTGTTGTTCAATAAAACTGTCTGCAACAGGTAAATGCCAGGAATAGTTGAGTGATTCTCAAAGCTATACACAGATACCTGGATTTTCTTGGCTTCACCTCTGCTGCGTCTAGGTCCCTTTGGAGTTCTTCACCTTGTTTTCCGCATCCTTCTCTTTTTCTTGTTCTTTCTCTTCCTCGCCTGCAGCATCTTGGGCCTCTTCATCCCACTTTTCGGGCTGAGATTTAGTGACTTCTTTAGGGAAGAATAATACACACATGGGGACCAGACATTCACAGAAAATATAGCCCAATTTATAACTAGCAGCGGCATTCAGCTACTCCACCCTCAGGAGAAGCAGGATAGAGTTAAGTAAGAAAGGAATAGCTGGGCACCTTCCTACTGGTTTTCACAACAGTTCCATGGCCCTCACGTTGCTGCTGCTTGATCATTTCCACAGGGACACTGTATTTCCCTTTTTTCCAGTAAATCTCCCACCCAAAGCGGCTGATTATTTCTAGTTCTTTGGAGAAGAAGAGATCTGAATCATCGGGTCCGATCTCATTCTACGGTGTTTTGGTCAGAACTTTGTTGGGAAAATATTTGTTTACCTCAAAAGACAAATTCTATGGTGAAGCTCATTGGTTCCTCACCCCCCTGAATGCTTCATTTTTACCAAGTGCTCCTGCATCACTTCATCATTTGGGGGATCAACTTTCTACGAATCTTTACACTTTGAAAAGCCATGAACTAAAAGGGATGCCTGCCATTTGCCTGTTCTTTTCCTTGGCGCATCCCTTCTGTTTCCTGCGGAGCTCCCTCCTGAACCCCTATCTACCCGGCCATTCATCTGCGGGCTCACAAATGGCACCGATGATCTCAGATCTCCTATCAAATATAGGTTGGTAGAGGGCGACAAGTTTTCTCAAAACCACAGATGTCGTTAGAGAATTGGGCTTCGACTCATTGGGACACATTCTGCCTTAAGTTTCAGGAGGGCCCCGACTCCTGCTTCACCACCCGAGGCCCCGACCCCCCTTCACCACCCGCTTCACCAGCTATGCCCGCACCGCGGCCCTGCCTAGAACCCTGGGACACACGGGTCCCCGCCTCCCCGCTGCTGCCGCTAGCCCGTTCCTTACCCTCTGGGGCCGTGGCCTCCTGTGCGGTCGGTTCTTCTGTGGCCGGTTCCTCTGCGTCTGGTTCCTCTGTGGCCTCCTCTGAGAGCTTCTCCTCTGCGGCCTCCTCCGCGGGCTCCCTGGCCATCTCGGCCAGGTCAGCTGGCACTGCAGGCTCTGGGACCGATGCGGCCTCCTGGATCAGGCCCAGGCCCTCGCCCGCCCGGGCTGCGGCCCCTGCACCCAGCCTCTGGGGCAGCAGCAGCGGGGGGAGGTTGCCCCAGAGGTTGCGCGCAGCAGCGTGTGGCCCCACCATCAGGCGGCTGAGTTGACGGTTCTCTATGAGGATGTGGTCGTTGTGAGAGAGGCGGTGGAGAAGGGAGTGGACCATGTCCAGGAGCACGAAGTGAATGCCCGACGCCGGGTAGCGACGGGCGACCACCGCCAAGTCGAAGTTGGCCGCCTCGTTCCCCTCTTCCTCCTCCTCTTCCTCCGTCGCGGGCCCGATATCTGAGTCCTCCTCGGCGCTCCCGCCCCGGGGGACTGCGGCCAGGCCTGCCGCCTGCTCACCCTCCTCCTCCCCGAGGCCTTCCACGGGCCCTGCGACTCCGACCACCTCGGCCGCAGGCACCACGTCGCTGCTGTCGGGGCCGGAGTCGCCGCCCTCCTGGTTACCAGCTCCGGCCGCCTCGGCCTGTGCTCCCTCCTGGCTTACCGGGGCCTCCTGGTCCCCTTGGGTCGGGTGTCGGTCCCCTGTGGCAGACATGACACCAGCAGCGCCTCAACTGGGGTGGCGAGCGGGCTGAGGCGACCACGGTGAAGACGGTGACCACTGAGGTGGCTACGGCCGAGGGGAGGCGAGGAGCTGGCCGCTGAGGGAATAAGAGTCTCTCTCTTTATTGAGGGAATAAGAGTCTGTCTCAGACGACACCCTAAGATGGGAAGGGCAGGGAGCGAATCCTAGAAACCTCCCACCAAGGCTGGCCTGAGAGGACTTAGACAAGTTGGGAAAGATTCTGGTTGGCAGGCGAAAGGGGGCGGGACCGGAAGGGTCAACGAGGGGCTCTCAGTGAGCCCTAAGCTCATTTGCTGAAAACTTCAGATTGACATGTTCTATGTCCAATGAATGATCAAGGCCCTTAAGCTCTAGAACTGAGAATCCAGAATCCAGAGCTTTTTCTTTTCTTTTCATAGTGTTGCTCTGTTGCCCAGGCTGGAGTGCAGTGGCAAGATCTCGGCTCACTGCAATCCCCGCCTCCTGGGTTCCAGTGATTCTCCTGCCTCAGCCTCCTGAGTAGCTGGGACTACAGGTACATGCCACCACGCCTGGCTAGGTTTTGTATTTTTAGTAGAGACAGGGTTTCACCATGTTGGCCAGGATGGTCTCGATCTCCTGACCTTGTGATCCACCTGCCTCAGCCTCCCAAAGTGCTTGGATTACAGGCATGAGCCACCGTGCCAGGTCGAGCTCTACCTTTTCTATGAGGCCTTAGTGTCCAAGGCTACCCCTTTAGGTCCACACAAGTCCTGCCCTTTTAATTTTATGATTATTAGCAACACTATAGTAGTCCCATGTGGAGGCACCCTGGAGCATGGGAACTGCAAGGCGGTCACAGAGTTCACTTATTTCCACCTAGTAATGGCTCATGCCAGTAGAGATAGTGTCATAAAAATGTTATATAGTTCATAGCTAAGCAGTAGTGAAAACCTCCCAAGAGACATAAGAATTTCACTGAGTTAACGTAGTTAAAGCTACTTAGAAAAGAATGTGCAGAGTTGAAATGGATGCAGTCATCACTGAGTGTTGAGGTGGTAAATGACAGACACTGGAAGGTGTTTAATGAATCCTGCCAAATTCACTTCAAACCTCCAAATAATGGGGAAAAAAAGAGATACTTTTTTTAGAAGGACCAGGTCATCTCATAAGAGCTAAGCATCAAAAACACCAAAAGTGCCTGGGGGTGGTGGCTCACGCCTGTAATCCAGCACTTTGGGAGGCCGCACTTTGGGAGGCCGAGGCAGGCAGATCACCTGAGGTCAGTAGTTCGAGACCAGCATGACCAATATGGTAAAACCCTGTCTGTACTAAAAATACAAAAAATTAGCTGGACATGGTGGTGCGCGCCTGTAGTCCCAGCTACTCGGAAGGGTGAGGCAGGAAATTTGCTGGAGCCTGGGAGGTGGAGGTTGCAGTGAGCCAAGATGGCCCCACTGCACTCCAGCCTGGGTGACAGAGCGAGACTCAGTTTCAAAAAAAAAAAAAAAAATTAGTAATATATGCAATATTATTTTCACACTTGCATCACATATTAAATCAGACTAGCCGTATTACAAGTGCTCAGTAGTCACAACACACAGCTCTAAAGATGAGCCCCATCTCTCTCTTTTCAAAAATTGTTTTAAACTTGTCATTTTACTTGATTTTTGGCTGCAGTGAAAGAATTTCAAAGAGTCTTACCAAATGGCGGAAAGTAATATCTTTCAATGAAGGTATGGTGGGCCAAAACAAAGACGTAAAGGAGAGATTTGAGTTAAGATTACTTATTGAAAAATCTTCCCACGTTTCAGTTTATTCATTTAAAACAAACTTTTATTTTTTAACTTGAACACTGTCACATACATCCATGAAAGTTAGATGTCACTGGATATCACTTTTGATGTAACGAACTTTGGAATGATATGTGTTACAATTCCCACAGGCATCTGGAGAAAAAGATAAAAACAATGAACAACAGAGTCTTCTTTCTTTTCCTCCCAACTGTGGGATGAAATGAGAGATGATAAACAATAGTACAACATTAACCAGCACCAGTGACTTTCTAAATAGAAGAAAATGGCCAGCTCTGTGTATATCTGCAACATTTGTGTGCTATATCTTAAACAAGTAGAGAAGCCCATCTTTTCCTTTTGTAACTCACGAGCTTGGATATCAGGGTGCTTGTGGAACTGAAGGTTTCAGTCAAATGATCACACCAACCTTGTCTGCCTAGCACTAGAAAAGCTTGTTGCTTTTGTTTTTACATGAGGGGCCATTCTGGGATTTAAATAAATCTCTCAAGCTTCAACAGCCTGTGCTGGTTCCACAAATAATACTCCCTTACCCTCCCAGACCCTTGGTTTCCGTATCTACCATGTGGGAAAGAAGCCGTTACGAAATATACGGCTGTGAAAATGCAAAATAAATAAATAAATAAGAAAGAAAGAAAAATGTTAACCATTTAAATACACTCAAAGATGGATATACCTTAAGACTTCATTACCAATTCAGTGATAAACACACATTCTTTTCATCTGACTGTGACATAAAATACCAAAATATATAGCCAAATAAATATCTAGGTATTAATCATTCATTGTGGTCCTACTTGAAATTCTTAGCTTTTTGCTATTTTTAAGTAGTCACTTTGTAAAAGGCATTGAGTTGTCTCCTAGTTACTACGGGAGCCTGCATTTCTGTGGTCAAGTAACGAAGGCCCAACTAATGCGTGGCCCAGCCAAGTTAGCGGCTGTGTCTGGCAACTGTTTTCTACACAAATATTGGTCCTGGTAGTAGGTCTGATACATCTGCCACTTGTTAGTAGTCTTGCAGCTAGAGGACAAAAGACCTCAACATGAACAAATGAGTAGCCAAGAAGTATATTTCAGAACACACTGCAGTTCATATTACTAGGTACATGAATATTCTCGTAACATTTTAAGTAAGTTAAATTGAATTTTTAAACTAATTTTAAACTTTTTCTTACTTAACTTACTGAGAATTTTTGTTGTTGTTCAATAAAACTGTCTGCAACAGGTAAATGCCAGGAATAGTTGAGTGATTCTCAAAGCTATACACAGATACCTGGATTTTCTTGGCTTCACCTCTGCTGCGTCTAGGTCCCTTTGGAGTTCTTCACCTTGTTTTCCGCATCCTTCTCTTTTTCTTGTTCTTTCTCTTCCTCGCCTGCAGCATCTTGGGCCTCTTCATCCCACTTTTCGGGCTGAGATTTAGTGACTTCTTTAGGGAAGAATAATACACACATGGGGACCAGACATTCACAGAAAATATAGCCCAATTTATAACTAGCAGCGGCATTCAGCTACTCCACCCTCAGGAGAAGCAGGATAGAGTTAAGTAAGAAAGGAATAGCTGGGCACCTTCCTACTGGTTTTCACAACAGTTCCATGGCCCTCACGTTGCTGCTGCTTGATCATTTCCACAGGGACACTGTATTTCCCTTTTTTCCAGTAAATCTCCCACCCAAAGCGGCTGATTATTTCTAGTTCTTTGGAGAAGAAGAGATCTGAATCATCGGGTCCGATCTCATTCTACGGTGTTTTGGTCAGAACTTTGTTGGGAAAATATTTGTTTACCTCAAAAGACAAATTCTATGGTGAAGCTCATTGGTTCCTCACCCCCCTGAATGCTTCATTTTTACCAAGTGCTCCTGCATCACTTCATCATTTGGGGGATCAACTTTCTACGAATCTTTACACTTTGAAAAGCCATGAACTAAAAGGGATGCCTGCCATTTGCCTGTTCTTTTCCTTGGCGCATCCCTTCTGTTTCCTGCGGAGCTCCCTCCTGAACCCCTATCTACCCGGCCATTCATCTGCGGGCTCACAAATGGCACCGATGATCTCAGATCTCCTATCAAATATAGGTTGGTAGAGGGCGACAAGTTTTCTCAAAACCACAGATGTCGTTAGAGAATTGGGCTTCGACTCATTGGGACACATTCTGCCTTAAGTTTCAGGAGGGCCCCGACTCCTGCTTCACCACCCGAGGCCCCGACCCCCCTTCACCACCCGCTTCACCAGCTATGCCCGCACCGCGGCCCTGCCTAGAACCCTGGGACACACGGGTCCCCGCCTCCCCGCTGCTGCCGCTAGCCCGTTCCTTACCCTCTGGGGCCGTGGCCTCCTGTGCGGTCGGTTCTTCTGTGGCCGGTTCCTCTGCGTCTGGTTCCTCTGTGGCCTCCTCTGAGAGCTTCTCCTCTGCGGCCTCCTCCGCGGGCTCCCTGGCCATCTCCGCCAGGTCAGCTGGCACTGCAGGCTCTGGGACCGATGCGGCCTCCTGGATCAGGCCCAGGCCCTCGCCCGCCCGGACTGCGGCCCCTGCACCCAGCCTCTGGGGCAGCAGCAGCGGGGGGAGGTTGCCCCAGAGGTTGCGCGCAGCAGCGTGTGGCCCCACCATCAGGCGGCTGAGTTGACGGTTCTCTATGAGGATGTGGTCGTTGTGAGAGAGGCGGTGGAGAAGGGAGTGGACCATGTCCAGGAGCACGAAGTGAATGCCCGACGCCGGGTAGCGACGGGCGACCACCGCCAAGTCGAAGTTGGCCGCCTCGTTCCCCTCTTCCTCCTCCTCTTCCTCCGTCGCGGGCCCGATATCTGAGTCCTCCTCGGCGCTCCCGCCCCGGGGGACTGCGGCCAGGCCTGCCGCCTGCTCACCCTCCTCCTCCCCGAGGCCTTCCACGGGCCCTGCGACTCCGACCACCTCGGCCGCAGGCACCACGTCGCTGCTGTCGGGGCCGGAGTCGCCGCCCTCCTGGTTACCAGCTCCGGCCGCCTCGGCCTGTGCTCCCTCCTGGCTTACCGGGGCCTCCTGGTCCCCTTGGGTCGGGTGTCGGTCCCCTGTGGCAGACATGACACCAGCAGCGCCTCAACTGGGGTGGCGAGCGGGCTGAGGCGACCACGGTGAAGACGGTGACCACTGAGGTGGCTACGGCCGAGGGGAGGCGAGGAGCTGGCCGCTGAGGGAGTAAGAGTCTCTCTCTTTATTGAGGGAATAAGAGTCTGTCTCAGACGACACCCTAAGATGGGAAGGGCAGGGAGCGAATCCTAGAAACCTCCCACCAAGGCTGGCCTGAGAGGACTTAGACAAGTTGGGAAAGATTCTGGTCGGCAGGCGAAAGGGGGCGGGACCGGAAGGGTCAACGAGGGGCTCTCAGTGAGCCCTAAGCTCATTTGCTGAAAACTTCAGATTGACATGTTCTATGTCCAATGAATGATCAAGGCCCTTAAGCTCTAGAACTGAGAATCCAGAATCCAGAGCTTTTTCTTTTCTTTTCATAGTGTTGCTCTGTTGCCCAGGCTGGAGTGCAGTGGCAAGATCTCGGCTCACTGCAATCCCCGCCTCCTGGGTTCCAGTGATTCTCCTGCCTCAGCCTCCTGAGTAGCTGGGACTACAGGTACATGCCACCACGCCTGGCTAGGTTTTGTATTTTTAGTAGAGACAGGGTTTCACCATGTTGGCCAGGATGGTCTCGATCTCCTGACCTTGTGATCCACCTGCCTCAGCCTCCCAAAGTGCTTGGATTACAGGCATGAGCCACCGTGCCAGGCCGAGCTCTACCTTTTCTATGAGGCCTTAGTGTCCAAGGCTACCCCTTTAGGTCCACACAAGTCCTGCCCTTTTAATTTTATGATTATTAGCAACACTATAGTAGTCCCATGTGGAGGCACCCTGGAGCATGGGAACTGCAAGGCGGTCACAGAGTTCACTTATTTCCACCTAGTAATGGCTCATGCCAGTAGAGATAGTGTCATAAAAATGTTATATAGTTCATAGCTAAGCAGTAGTGAAAACCTCCCAAGAGACATAAGAATTTCACTGAGTTAACGTAGTTAAAGCTACTTAGAAAAGAATGTGCAGAGTTGAAATGGATGCAGTCATCACTGAGTGTTGAGGTGGTAAATGACAGACACTGGAAGGTGTTTAATGAATCCTGCCAAATTCACTTCAAACCTCCAAATAATGGGGAAAAAAAGAGATACTTTTTTTAAAAGGACCAGGTCATCTCATAAGAGCTAAGCATCAAAAACACCAAAAGTGCCTGGGGGTGGTGGCTCACGCCTGTAATCCAGCACTTTGGGAGGCTGCACTTTGGGAGGCCGAGGCAGGCAGATCACCTGAGGTCAGTAGTTCGAGACCAGCATGACCAATATGGTAAAACCCTGTCTGTACTAAAAATACAAAAAATTAGCTGGACATGGTGGTGCGCGCCTGTAGTCCCAGCTACTCGGAAGGGTGAGGCAGGAAATTTGCTGGAGCCTGGGAGGTGGAGGTTGCAGTGAGCCAAGATGGCCCCACTGCACTCCAGCCTGGGTGACAGAGCGAGACTCAGTTTCAAAAAAAAAAAAAAAAATTAGTAATATATGCAATATTATTTTCACACTTGCATCACATATTAAATCAGACTAGCCGTATTACAAGTGCTCAGTAGTCACAACACACAGCTCTAAAGATGAGCCCCATCTCTCTCTTTTCAAAAATTGTTTTAAACTTGTCATTTTACTTGATTTTTGGCTGCAGTGAAAGAATTTCAAAGAGTCTTACCAAATGGCGGAAAGTAATATCTTTCAATGAAGGTATGGTGGGCCAAAACAAAGACGTAAAGGAGAGATTTGAGTTAAGATTACTTATTGAAAAATCTTCCCACGTTTCAGTTTATTCATTTAAAACAAACTTTTATTTTTTAACTTGAACACTGTCACATACATCCATGAAAGTTAGATGTCACTGGATATCACTTTTGATGTAACGAACTTTGGAATGATATGTGTTACAATTCCCACAGGCATCTGGAGAAAAAGATAAAAACAATGAACAACAGAGTCTTCTTTCTTTTCCTCCCAACTGTGGGATGAAATGAGAGATGATAAACAATAGTACAACATTAACCAGCACCAGTGACTTTCTAAATAGAAGAAAATGGCCAGCTCTGTGTATATCTGCAACATTTGTGTGCTATATCTTAAACAAGTAGAGAAGCCCATCTTTTCCTTTTGTAACTCACGAGCTTGGATATCAGGGTGCTTGTGGAACTGAAGGTTTCAGTCAAATGATCACACCAACCTTGTCTGCCTAGCACTAGAAAAGCTTGTTGCTTTTGTTTTTACATGAGGGGCCATTCTGGGATTTAAATAAATCTCTCAAGCTTCAACAGCCTGTGCTGGTTCCACAAATAATACTCCCTTACCCTCCCAGACCCTTGGTTTCCGTATCTACCATGTGGGAAAGAAGCCGTTACGAAATATACGGCTGTGAAAATGCAAAATAAATAAATAAATAAGAAAGAAAGAAAAATGTTAACCATTTAAATACACTCAAAGATGGATATACCTTAAGACTTCATTACCAATTCAGTGATAAACACACATTCTTTTCATCTGACTGTGACATAAAATACCAAAATATATAGCCAAATAAATATCTAGGTATTAATCATTCATTGTGGTCCTACTTGAAATTCTTAGCTTTTTGCTATTTTTAAGTAGTCACTTTGTAAAAGGCATTGAGTTGTCTCCTAGTTACTACGGGAGCCTGCATTTCTGTGGTCAAGTAACGAAGGCCCAACTAATGCGTGGCCCAGCCAAGTTAGCGGCTGTGTCTGGCAACTGTTTTCTACACAAATATTGGTCCTGGTAGTAGGTCTGATACATCTGCCACTTGTTAGTAGTCTTGCAGCTAGAGGACAAAAGACCTCAACATGAACAAATGAGTAGCCAAGAAGTATATTTCAGAACACACTGCAGTTCATATTACTAGGTACATGAATATTCTCGTAACATTTTAAGTAAGTTAAATTGAATTTTTAAACTAATTTTAAACTTTTTCTTACTTAACTTACTGAGAATTTTTGTTGTTGTTCAATAAAACTGTCTGCAACAGGTAAATGCCAGGAATAGTTGAGTGATTCTCAAAGCTATACACAGATACCTGGATTTTCTTGGCTTCACCTCTGCTGCGTCTAGGTCCCTTTGGAGTTCTTCACCTTGTTTTCCGCATCCTTCTCTTTTTCTTGTTCTTTCTCTTCCTCGCCTGCAGCATCTTGGGCCTCTTCATCCCACTTTTCGGGCTGAGATTTAGTGACTTCTTTAGGGAAGAATAATACACACATGGGGACCAGACATTCACAGAAAATATAGCCCAATTTATAACTAGCAGCGGCATTCAGCTACTCCACCCTCAGGAGAAGCAGGATAGAGTTAAGTAAGAAAGGAATAGCTGGGCACCTTCCTACTGGTTTTCACAACAGTTCCATGGCCCTCACGTTGCTGCTGCTTGATCATTTCCACAGGGACACTGTATTTCCCTTTTTTCCAGTAAATCTCCCACCCAAAGCGGCTGATTATTTCTAGTTCTTTGGAGAAGAAGAGATCTGAATCATCGGGTCCGATCTCATTCTACGGTGTTTTGGTCAGAACTTTGTTGGGAAAATATTTGTTTACCTCAAAAGACAAATTCTATGGTGAAGCTCATTGGTTCCTCACCCCCCTGAATGCTTCATTTTTACCAAGTGCTCCTGCATCACTTCATCATTTGGGGGATCAACTTTCTACGAATCTTTACACTTTGAAAAGCCATGAACTAAAAGGGATGCCTGCCATTTGCCTGTTCTTTTCCTTGGCGCATCCCTTCTGTTTCCTGCGGAGCTCCCTCCTGAACCCCTATCTACCCGGCCATTCATCTGCGGGCTCACAAATGGCACCGATGATCTCAGATCTCCTATCAAATATAGGTTGGTAGAGGGCGACAAGTTTTCTCAAAACCACAGATGTCGTTAGAGAATTGGGCTTCGACTCATTGGGACACATTCTGCCTTAAGTTTCAGGAGGGCCCCGACTCCTGCTTCACCACCCGAGGCCCCGACCCCCCTTCACCACCCGCTTCACCAGCTATGCCCGCACCGCGGCCCTGCCTAGAACCCTGGGACACACGGGTCCCCGCCTCCCCGCTGCTGCCGCTAGCCCGTTCCTTACCCTCTGGGGCCGTGGCCTCCTGTGCGGTCGGTTCTTCTGTGGCCGGTTCCTCTGCGTCTGGTTCCTCTGTGGCCTCCTCTGAGAGCTTCTCCTCTGCGGCCTCCTCCGCGGGCTCCCTGGCCATCTCGGCCAGGTCAGCTGGCACTGCAGGCTCTGGGACCGATGCGGCCTCCTGGATCAGGCCCAGGCCCTCGCCCGCCCGGGCTGCGGCCCCTGCACCCAGCCTCTGGGGCAGCAGCAGCGGGGGGAGGTTGCCCCAGAGGTTGCGCGCAGCAGCGTGTGGCCCCACCATCAGGCGGCTGAGTTGACGGTTCTCTATGAGGATGTGGTCGTTGTGAGAGAGGCGGTGGAGAAGGGAGTGGACCATGTCCAGGAGCACGAAGTGAATGCCCGACGCCGGGTAGCGACGGGCGACCACCGCCAAGTCGAAGTTGGCCGCCTCGTTCCCCTCTTCCTCCTCCTCTTCCTCCGTCGCGGGCCCGATATCTGAGTCCTCCTCGGCGCTCCCGCCCCGGGGGACTGCGGCCAGGCCTGCCGCCTGCTCACCCTCCTCCTCCCCGAGGCCTTCCACGGGCCCTGCGACTCCGACCACCTCGGCCGCAGGCACCACGTCGCTGCTGTCGGGGCCGGAGTCGCCGCCCTCCTGGTTACCAGCTCCGGCCGCCTCGGCCTGTGCTCCCTCCTGGCTTACCGGGGCCTCCTGGTCCCCTTGGGTCGGGTGTCGGTCCCCTGTGGCAGACATGACACCAGCAGCGCCTCAACTGGGGTGGCGAGCGGGCTGAGGCGACCACGGTGAAGACGGTGACCACTGAGGTGGCTACGGCCGAGGGGAGGCGAGGAGCTGGCCGCTGAGGGAATAAGAGTCTCTCTCTTTATTGAGGGAATAAGAGTCTGTCTCAGACGACACCCTAAGATGGGAAGGGCAGGGAGCGAATCCTAGAAACCTCCCACCAAGGCTGGCCTGAGAGGACTTAGACAAGTTGGGAAAGATTCTGGTCGGCAGGCGAAAGGGGGCGGGACCGGAAGGGTCAACGAGGGGCTCTCAGTGAGCCCTAAGCTCATTTGCTGAAAACTTCAGATTGACATGTTCTATGTCCAATGAATGATCAAGGCCCTTAAGCTCTAGAACTGAGAATCCAGAATCCAGAGCTTTTTCTTTTCTTTTCATAGTGTTGCTCTGTTGCCCAGGCTGGAGTGCAGTGGCAAGATCTCGGCTCACTGCAATCCCCGCCTCCTGGGTTCCAGTGATTCTCCTGCCTCAGCCTCCTGAGTAGCTGGGACTACAGGTACATGCCACCACGCCTGGCTAGGTTTTGTATTTTTAGTAGAGACAGGGTTTCACCATGTTGGCCAGGATGGTCTCGATCTCCTGACCTTGTGATCCACCTGCCTCAGCCTCCCAAAGTGCTTGGATTACAGGCATGAGCCACCGTGCCAGGCCGAGCTCTACCTTTTCTATGAGGCCTTAGTGTCCAAGGCTACCCCTTTAGGTCCACACAAGTCCTGCCCTTTTAATTTTATGATTATTAGCAACACTATAGTAGTCCCATGTGGAGGCACCCTGGAGCATGGGAACTGCAAGGCGGTCACAGAGTTCACTTATTTCCACCTAGTAATGGCTCATGCCAGTAGAGATAGTGTCATAAAAATGTTATATAGTTCATAGCTAAGCAGTAATGAAAACCTCCCAAGAGACATAAGAATTTCACTGAGTTAACGTAGTTAAAGCTACTTAGAAAAGAATGTGCAGAGTTGAAATGGATGCAGTCATCACTGAGTGTTGAGGTGGTAAATGACAGACACTGGAAGGTGTTTAATGAATCCTGCCAAATTCACTTCAAACCTCCAAATAATGGGGAAAAAAAGAGATACTTTTTTTAAAAGGACCAGGTCATCTCATAAGAGCTAAGCATCAAAAACACCAAAAGTGCCTGGGGGTGGTGGCTCACGCCTGTAATCCAGCACTTTGGGAGGCCGCACTTTGGGAGGCCGAGGCAGGCAGATCACCTGAGGTCAGTAGTTCGAGACCAGCATGACCAATATGGTAAAACCCTGTCTGTACTAAAAATACAAAAAATTAGCTGGACATGGTGGTGCGCGCCTGTAGTCCCAGCTACTCGGAAGGGTGAGGCAGGAAATTTGCTGGAGCCTGGGAGGTGGAGGTTGCAGTGAGCCAAGATGGCCCCACTGCACTCCAGCCTGGGTGACAGAGCGAGACTCAGTTTCAAAAAAAAAAAAAAAAATTAGTAATATATGCAATATTATTTTCACACTTGCATCACATATTAAATCAGACTAGCCGTATTACAAGTGCTCAGTAGTCACAACACACAGCTCTAAAGATGAGCCCCATCTCTCTCTTTTCAAAAATTGTTTTAAACTTGTCATTTTACTTGATTTTTGGCTGCAGTGAAAGAATTTCAAAGAGTCTTACCAAATGGCGGAAAGTAATATCTTTCAATGAAGGTATGGTGGGCCAAAACAAAGACGTAAAGGAGAGATTTGAGTTAAGATTACTTATTGAAAAATCTTCCCACGTTTCAGTTTATTCATTTAAAACAAACTTTTATTTTTTAACTTGAACACTGTCACATACATCCATGAAAGTTAGATGTCACTGGATATCACTTTTGATGTAACGAACTTTGGAATGATATGTGTTACAATTCCCACAGGCATCTGGAGAAAAAGATAAAAACAATGAACAACAGAGTCTTCTTTCTTTTCCTCCCAACTGTGGGATGAAATGAGAGATGATAAACAATAGTACAACATTAACCAGCACCAGTGACTTTCTAAATAGAAGAAAATGGCCAGCTCTGTGTATATCTGCAACATTTGTGTGCTATATCTTAAACAAGTAGAGAAGCCCATCTTTTCCTTTTGTAACTCACGAGCTTGGATATCAGGGTGCTTGTGGAACTGAAGGTTTCAGTCAAATGATCACACCAACCTTGTCTGCCTAGCACTAGAAAAGCTTGTTGCTTTTGTTTTTACATGAGGGGCCATTCTGGGATTTAAATAAATCTCTCAAGCTTCAACAGCCTGTGCTGGTTCCACAAATAATACTCCCTTACCCTCCCAGACCCTTGGTTTCCGTATCTACCATGTGGGAAAGAAGCCGTTACGAAATATACGGCTGTGAAAATGCAAAATAAATAAATAAATAAGAAAGAAAGAAAAATGTTAACCATTTAAATACACTCAAAGATGGATATACCTTAAGACTTCATTACCAATTCAGTGATAAACACACATTCTTTTCATCTGACTGTGACATAAAATACCAAAATATATAGCCAAATAAATATCTAGGTATTAATCATTCATTGTGGTCCTACTTGAAATTCTTAGCTTTTTGCTATTTTTAAGTAGTCACTTTGTAAAAGGCATTGAGTTGTCTCCTAGTTACTACGGGAGCCTGCATTTCTGTGGTCAAGTAACGAAGGCCCAACTAATGCGTGGCCCAGCCAAGTTAGCGGCTGTGTCTGGCAACTGTTTTCTACACAAATATTGGTCCTGGTAGTAGGTCTGATACATCTGCCACTTGTTAGTAGTCTTGCAGCTAGAGGACAAAAGACCTCAACATGAACAAATGAGTAGCCAAGAAGTATATTTCAGAACACACTGCAGTTCATATTACTAGGTACATGAATATTCTCGTAACATTTTAAGTAAGTTAAATTGAATTTTTAAACTAATTTTAAACTTTTTCTTACTTAACTTACTGAGAATTTTTGTTGTTGTTCAATAAAACTGTCTGCAACAGGTAAATGCCAGGAATAGTTGAGTGATTCTCAAAGCTATACACAGATACCTGGATTTTCTTGGCTTCACCTCTGCTGCGTCTAGGTCCCTTTGGAGTTCTTCACCTTGTTTTCCGCATCCTTCTCTTTTTCTTGTTCTTTCTCTTCCTCGCCTGCAGCATCTTGGGCCTCTTCATCCCACTTTTCGGGCTGAGATTTAGTGACTTCTTTAGGGAAGAATAATACACACATGGGGACCAGACATTCACAGAAAATATAGCCCAATTTATAACTAGCAGCGGCATTCAGCTACTCCACCCTCAGGAGAAGCAGGATAGAGTTAAGTAAGAAAGGAATAGCTGGGCACCTTCCTACTGGTTTTCACAACAGTTCCATGGCCCTCACGTTGCTGCTGCTTGATCATTTCCACAGGGACACTGTATTTCCCTTTTTTCCAGTAAATCTCCCACCCAAAGCGGCTGATTATTTCTAGTTCTTTGGAGAAGAAGAGATCTGAATCATCGGGTCCGATCTCATTCTACGGTGTTTTGGTCAGAACTTTGTTGGGAAAATATTTGTTTACCTCAAAAGACAAATTCTATGGTGAAGCTCATTGGTTCCTCACCCCCCTGAATGCTTCATTTTTACCAAGTGCTCCTGCATCACTTCATCATTTGGGGGATCAACTTTCTACGAATCTTTACACTTTGAAAAGCCATGAACTAAAAGGGATGCCTGCCATTTGCCTGTTCTTTTCCTTGGCGCATCCCTTCTGTTTCCTGCGGAGCTCCCTCCTGAACCCCTATCTACCCGGCCATTCATCTGCGGGCTCACAAATGGCACCGATGATCTCAGATCTCCTATCAAATATAGGTTGGTAGAGGGCGACAAGTTTTCTCAAAACCACAGATGTCGTTAGAGAATTGGGCTTCGACTCATTGGGACACATTCTGCCTTAAGTTTCAGGAGGGCCCCGACTCCTGCTTCACCACCCGAGGCCCCGACCCCCCTTCACCACCCGCTTCACCAGCTATGCCCGCACCGCGGCCCTGCCTAGAACCCTGGGACACACGGGTCCCCGCCTCCCCGCTGCTGCCGCTAGCCCGTTCCTTACCCTCTGGGGCCGTGGCCTCCTGTGCGGTCGGTTCTTCTGTGGCCGGTTCCTCTGCGTCTGGTTCCTCTGTGGCCTCCTCTGAGAGCTTCTCCTCTGCGGCCTCCTCCGCGGGCTCCCTGGCCATCTCGGCCAGGTCAGCTGGCACTGCAGGCTCTGGGACCGATGCGGCCTCCTGGATCAGGCCCAGGCCCTCGCCCGCCCGGGCTGCGGCCCCTGCACCCAGCCTCTGGGGCAGCAGCAGCGGGGGGAGGTTGCCCCAGAGGTTGCGCGCAGCAGCGTGTGGCCCCACCATCAGGCGGCTGAGTTGACGGTTCTCTATGAGGATGTGGTCGTTGTGAGAGAGGCGGTGGAGAAGGGAGTGGACCATGTCCAGGAGCACGAAGTGAATGCCCGACGCCGGGTAGCGACGGGCGACCACCGCCAAGTCGAAGTTGGCCGCCTCGTTCCCCTCTTCCTCCTCCTCTTCCTCCGTCGCGGGCCCGATATCTGAGTCCTCCTCGGCGCTCCCGCCCCGGGGGACTGCGGCCAGGCCTGCCGCCTGCTCACCCTCCTCCTCCCCGAGGCCTTCCACGGGCCCTGCGACTCCGACCACCTCGGCCGCAGGCACCACGTCGCTGCTGTCGGGGCCGGAGTCGCCGCCCTCCTGGTTACCAGCTCCGGCCGCCTCGGCCTGTGCTCCCTCCTGGCTTACCGGGGCCTCCTGGTCCCCTTGGGTCGGGTGTCGGTCCCCTGTGGCAGACATGACACCAGCAGCGCCTCAACTGGGGTGGCGAGCGGGCTGAGGCGACCACGGTGAAGACGGTGACCACTGAGGTGGCTACGGCCGAGGGGAGGCGAGGAGCTGGCCGCTGAGGGAATAAGAGTCTCTCTCTTTATTGAGGGAATAAGAGTCTGTCTCAGACGACACCCTAAGATGGGAAGGGCAGGGAGCGAATCCTAGAAACCTCCCACCAAGGCTGGCCTGAGAGGACTTAGACAAGTTGGGAAAGATTCTGGTCGGCAGGCGAAAGGGGGCGGGACCGGAAGGGTCAACGAGGGGCTCTCAGTGAGCCCTAAGCTCATTTGCTGAAAACTTCAGATTGACATGTTCTATGTCCAATGAATGATCAAGGCCCTTAAGCTCTAGAACTGAGAATCCAGAATCCAGAGCTTTTTCTTTTCTTTTCATAGTGTTGCTCTGTTGCCCAGGCTGGAGTGCAGTGGCAAGATCTCGGCTCACTGCAATCCCCGCCTCCTGGGTTCCAGTGATTCTCCTGCCTCAGCCTCCTGAGTAGCTGGGACTACAGGTACATGCCACCACGCCTGGCTAGGTTTTGTATTTTTAGTAGAGACAGGGTTTCACCATGTTGGCCAGGATGGTCTCGATCTCCTGACCTTGTGATCCACCTGCCTCAGCCTCCCAAAGTGCTTGGATTACAGGCATGAGCCACCGTGCCAGGCCGAGCTCTACCTTTTCTATGAGGCCTTAGTGTCCAAGGCTACCCCTTTAGGTCCACACAAGTCCTGCCCTTTTAATTTTATGATTATTAGCAACACTATAGTAGTCCCATGTGGAGGCACCCTGGAGCATGGGAACTGCAAGGCGGTCACAGAGTTCACTTATTTCCACCTAGTAATGGCTCATGCCAGTAGAGATAGTGTCATAAAAATGTTATATAGTTCATAGCTAAGCAGTAGTGAAAACCTCCCAAGAGACATAAGAATTTCACTGAGTTAACGTAGTTAAAGCTACTTAGAAAAGAATGTGCAGAGTTGAAATGGATGCAGTCATCACTGAGTGTTGAGGTGGTAAATGACAGACACTGGAAGGTGTTTAATGAATCCTGCCAAATTCACTTCAAACCTCCAAATAATGGGGAAAAAAAGAGATACTTTTTTTAAAAGGACCAGGTCATCTCATAAGAGCTAAGCATCAAAAACACCAAAAGTGCCTGGGGGTGGTGGCTCACGCCTGTAATCCAGCACTTTGGGAGGCCGCACTTTGGGAGGCCGAGGCAGGCAGATCACCTGAGGTCAGTAGTTCGAGACCAGCATGACCAATATGGTAAAACCCTGTCTGTACTAAAAATACAAAAAATTAGCTGGACATGGTGGTGCGCGCCTGTAGTCCCAGCTACTCGGAAGGGTGAGGCAGGAAATTTGCTGGAGCCTGGGAGGTGGAGGTTGCAGTGAGCCAAGATGGCCCCACTGCACTCCAGCCTGGGTGACAGAGCGAGACTCAGTTTCAAAAAAAAAAAAAAAAATTAGTAATATATGCAATATTATTTTCACACTTGCATCACATATTAAATCAGACTAGCCGTATTACAAGTGCTCAGTAGTCACAACACACAGCTCTAAAGATGAGCCCCATCTCTCTCTTTTCAAAAATTGTTTTAAACTTGTCATTTTACTTGATTTTTGGCTGCAGTGAAAGAATTTCAAAGAGTCTTACCAAATGGCGGAAAGTAATATCTTTCAATGAAGGTATGGTGGGCCAAAACAAAGACGTAAAGGAGAGATTTGAGTTAAGATTACTTATTGAAAAATCTTCCCACGTTTCAGTTTATTCATTTAAAACAAACTTTTATTTTTTAACTTGAACACTGTCACATACATCCATGAAAGTTAGATGTCACTGGATATCACTTTTGATGTAACGAACTTTGGAATGATATGTGTTACAATTCCCACAGGCATCTGGAGAAAAAGATAAAAACAATGAACAACAGAGTCTTCTTTCTTTTCCTCCCAACTGTGGGATGAAATGAGAGATGATAAACAATAGTACAACATTAACCAGCACCAGTGACTTTCTAAATAGAAGAAAATGGCCAGCTCTGTGTATATCTGCAACATTTGTGTGCTATATCTTAAACAAGTAGAGAAGCCCATCTTTTCCTTTTGTAACTCACGAGCTTGGATATCAGGGTGCTTGTGGAACTGAAGGTTTCAGTCAAATGATCACACCAACCTTGTCTGCCTAGCACTAGAAAAGCTTGTTGCTTTTGTTTTTACATGAGGGGCCATTCTGGGATTTAAATAAATCTCTCAAGCTTCAACAGCCTGTGCTGGTTCCACAAATAATACTCCCTTACCCTCCCAGACCCTTGGTTTCCGTATCTACCATGTGGGAAAGAAGCCGTTACGAAATATACGGCTGTGAAAATGCAAAATAAATAAATAAATAAGAAAGAAAGAAAAATGTTAACCATTTAAATACACTCAAAGATGGATATACCTTAAGACTTCATTACCAATTCAGTGATAAACACACATTCTTTTCATCTGACTGTGACATAAAATACCAAAATATATAGCCAAATAAATATCTAGGTATTAATCATTCATTGTGGTCCTACTTGAAATTCTTAGCTTTTTGCTATTTTTAAGTAGTCACTTTGTAAAAGGCATTGAGTTGTCTCCTAGTTACTACGGGAGCCTGCATTTCTGTGGTCAAGTAACGAAGGCCCAACTAATGCGTGGCCCAGCCAAGTTAGCGGCTGTGTCTGGCAACTGTTTTCTACACAAATATTGGTCCTGGTAGTAGGTCTGATACATCTGCCACTTGTTAGTAGTCTTGCAGCTAGAGGACAAAAGACCTCAACATGAACAAATGAGTAGCCAAGAAGTATATTTCAGAACACACTGCAGTTCATATTACTAGGTACATGAATATTCTCGTAACATTTTAAGTAAGTTAAATTGAATTTTTAAACTAATTTTAAACTTTTTCTTACTTAACTTACTGAGAATTTTTGTTGTTGTTCAATAAAACTGTCTGCAACAGGTAAATGCCAGGAATAGTTGAGTGATTCTCAAAGCTATACACAGATACCTGGATTTTCTTGGCTTCACCTCTGCTGCGTCTAGGTCCCTTTGGAGTTCTTCACCTTGTTTTCCGCATCCTTCTCTTTTTCTTGTTCTTTCTCTTCCTCGCCTGCAGCATCTTGGGCCTCTTCATCCCACTTTTCGGGCTGAGATTTAGTGACTTCTTTAGGGAAGAATAATACACACATGGGGACCAGACATTCACAGAAAATATAGCCCAATTTATAACTAGCAGCGGCATTCAGCTACTCCACCCTCAGGAGAAGCAGGATAGAGTTAAGTAAGAAAGGAATAGCTGGGCACCTTCCTACTGGTTTTCACAACAGTTCCATGGCCCTCACGTTGCTGCTGCTTGATCATTTCCACAGGGACACTGTATTTCCCTTTTTTCCAGTAAATCTCCCACCCAAAGCGGCTGATTATTTCTAGTTCTTTGGAGAAGAAGAGATCTGAATCATCGGGTCCGATCTCATTCTACGGTGTTTTGGTCAGAACTTTGTTGGGAAAATATTTGTTTACCTCAAAAGACAAATTCTATGGTGAAGCTCATTGGTTCCTCACCCCCCTGAATGCTTCATTTTTACCAAGTGCTCCTGCATCACTTCATCATTTGGGGGATCAACTTTCTACGAATCTTTACACTTTGAAAAGCCATGAACTAAAAGGGATGCCTGCCATTTGCCTGTTCTTTTCCTTGGCGCATCCCTTCTGTTTCCTGCGGAGCTCCCTCCTGAACCCCTATCTACCCGGCCATTCATCTGCGGGCTCACAAATGGCACCGATGATCTCAGATCTCCTATCAAATATAGGTTGGTAGAGGGCGACAAGTTTTCTCAAAACCACAGATGTCGTTAGAGAATTGGGCTTCGACTCATTGGGACACATTCTGCCTTAAGTTTCAGGAGGGCCCCGACTCCTGCTTCACCACCCGAGGCCCCGACCCCCCTTCACCACCCGCTTCACCAGCTATGCCCGCACCGCGGCCCTGCCTAGAACCCTGGGACACACGGGTCCCCGCCTCCCCGCTGCTGCCGCTAGCCCGTTCCTTACCCTCTGGGGCCGTGGCCTCCTGTGCGGTCGGTTCTTCTGTGGCCGGTTCCTCTGCGTCTGGTTCCTCTGTGGCCTCCTCTGAGAGCTTCTCCTCTGCGGCCTCCTCCGCGGGCTCCCTGGCCATCTCGGCCAGGTCAGCTGGCACTGCAGGCTCTGGGACCGATGCGGCCTCCTGGATCAGGCCCAGGCCCTCGCCCGCCCGGGCTGCGGCCCCTGCACCCAGCCTCTGGGGCAGCAGCAGCGGGGGGAGGTTGCCCCAGAGGTTGCGCGCAGCAGCGTGTGGCCCCACCATCAGGCGGCTGAGTTGACGGTTCTCTATGAGGATGTGGTCGTTGTGAGAGAGGCGGTGGAGAAGGGAGTGGACCATGTCCAGGAGCACGAAGTGAATGCCCGACGCCGGGTAGCGACGGGCGACCACCGCCAAGTCGAAGTTGGCCGCCTCGTTCCCCTCTTCCTCCTCCTCTTCCTCCGTCGCGGGCCCGATATCTGAGTCCTCCTCGGCGCTCCCGCCCCGGGGGACTGCGGCCAGGCCTGCCGCCTGCTCACCCTCCTCCTCCCCGAGGCCTTCCACGGGCCCTGCGACTCCGACCACCTCGGCCGCAGGCACCACGTCGCTGCTGTCGGGGCCGGAGTCGCCGCCCTCCTGGTTACCAGCTCCGGCCGCCTCGGCCTG